>NC_000006.12:5363030-5514545 GCF_000001405.40 Homo sapiens
ATTCTCCTGCCTCAGCCTCCCAAGTAGCTGGGACTACAGGTGCCCGCCACCATGCTTGGCTAATTTTTTATATTTTTAGTAGAGATGGGGTTTCACCGTGTTAGCCAGGATGGTCTCGTTCTCCTGCCCTCATGCTCCACCCACCTCGGCCTCCCAAAGTGCTGGGATTACAGGCATGAGCCACCTCGCCCAGCCCCTTTGCCCATTTTTAAGTTATTTGCTTTCTTGCTGTTGAGTTGCGTGAGTTCCTTATGTATTTTGGACATTAGCTTTTTCCCAGATACATGGCTTGTAAATACTTTTTCCCATTCTGTGAGTTGTCTCTTCACTCTATTGAGTTTTTAAATAGTTCTTTACTGCCCCTTCCAAAGAGGCAGCCTTCTTTGTTTTGTTTTTGCTGACCAATTTCCTTCCATTCTTTTCTTTTTCTTCCTATTTCTCTTCTTCCCGCGTCTTCCACCCAGCATCACATGTAGTGCTAGATTATGGGCATACGATGATAAATATAAGAGAGAGAGGAGAGAAAGAGTATGTGTATATATATGTGTTTGTGTGTTCTACTCTCAAGAACCACACAGGCTAGTAGGAATACAGACAACAGCAGGTAGTAATAATACGGCATGCTAAACATTGCACATTGAGTGGTATTTGGGTCCAGGAAACAGGCCCGTTTCCTTCTAGATGTCTTTTCCCCTGACTTCTGTGCTGTGGCACCCTTTACGTCCCCTCTGTCTTACTCCTTACATCCCCTTCCCTTAAATATGATAAGTTCCAAGTATTCTTCTATCTTTTGCCCACTTATATCTTGCTCTTAGCCTCCCATGGATTCTTATATACGCTTGTGATATTAACTCTTACGTCTATGCAAATTACCTCCAAGGTCTACATTTCCAGGATTAATGTCTTACCTCATTTCCAAACTATAATATAACTCGAATTGCCTTACAGAAATTGTAATGTGGCTATCTCATTCATACTGAACTTCCATTGTCCAAATCTGTTTCCCTCTACAAAAGATGATCTGAACAAACAACAAAAATCCATTCTGAGTTCTCTGTGTCAGTGAATGACTTTATTAGTTCATCCGTTACCCGATCTCTAGAAATCTCTGGGTCACTTTTAACCCTGAATTCAGCTCATCTTACCCGTTACACACTGGGCAATGAGTTAATTAGCTGATGAACATGATCTAGTATAATCTTTTCATTATGAGATAAGTATTATATTTCTCTGTTTTACAGATGAGAACCTTGAGGCCAGAAGGGTCAAATAACGTTTCTAAGGATGATACATGGCACCTAAGAGATCAACCTAGGATCAAACCAACATTAGTATCTCTGCGAAGTCTGGCCTATTGCCCATTATATTGTATTTTCTCTTCTTATAGTTGGTCTGATTGTTTCTTTTGTACCAGTGCTAACATACTTCACGTCCACATTTGTATTCTTGCTCCTTTTTTGTGACTTTATAATCTACATATATTTGTGACTAGGAAGATTTTATTAATAGTGTAGAAAAATTTTTCAGTAGGTTAAGCTAAAACAGGGCTCAGCAAACTCTATAACAGACCAGAGAGTGAGTATTTAGGCTTTGTGAGCAACACAATCTCTATAGCAGCTATTCAATCTTACCTTGATAGCAAGAAAGCCATGGCAAATGATAAATCAAGAAATGGCTGTTGCTGTGTTCCAACAAACTTTATTTGTAAAAACAGACTATGGGCAAGGCACGATGGCTTAAGCCTGTAATCCCAGCACTTTGGGAGGCTGAGGTGGGCAGCTCACTTGAGGCAGGAGTTTGAGACCAGCCTGGGCAATGTGGCGAAACCTCATCTCTACAAAAAATACAAAAGCTAGCCGGGCATAGTGGCTTGCACCTGTAGTCCTAGCTATCTCTGGGGCAGGGAGCCACTGGAGCCTGAGACAGGAGGATCACTTGAGTCTGGGAGGTTGATGCTCCAGTAAGCCATGATCATCCCACTGCACTCCAGCCTGGGTGACAGAGTAAGACCCTGTCTCAGAAACAAAAAAAAGCCAAAGCCAAAAAAAAAAACCCCAAACAGACTACTGTGGGCAGATTTGGCCCTTGGGTCTGTAAATACTTATTTCATTTTTACTATCTAAGCTAATGTGTTTTATTGGATTTACTTATTCATGCATTTATTTATGTATTTAAAAACACATTGATGTATAATCTCAATTAGATAAAATAGAAGTTAAGGGAGGTCCTTGCAGAGATACCATTTGAACTTAACAATCTTGGACCTTTGATTGAGAAGTATACTTTCTTTTTTTTTTTTTTTTTTTTTTTTTTTTTAGTGAGGCAGAGTCTCACTCTGTCACCCAAGCTGGAGTGCAGTGGTGCAATCCTGGCTTACTGAAGCCTGAACTCCTGGGTTCATGCAGTCCTCCTGCCTTAGCTCCCCAGTAGCTGGGACTGCAGGTGTGTGCCACCATACCCGGCTAATTTATTAAATAAAATTTTTTTTTTTTTTTTTTTTTTGTAGAGATAGGGTCTTGTCATGTTGCCCAGGCTGCTCTCAAACTCCTGGGCCCAAGTGATCCTTTCGCCTTGGCCTTCCAGAGTGTTAGGATCATAGGCGTGAGCCACCACACCCTACTGAGAAATGCACTTGACCCCTGGACAACTGATTACCCTCCCTCAGTCAGTTGAAAATTCCTGTATACCTTTTGACTTCCCCTAACTTAACTATTAATTGTTAACTGGAGGCTTTACTGATAACATAAACAATTGATTAACACATATTTTGTATGTTATAGGCATTATATACTGTATTACAATAAACTAGAGAAAAGAAAATGTTATTAAGAAAATCATGAGGAAAGAAAATGTATTTACTATTTATTAAGTGGAAGTAGATCATCCTAAAGATCTTTATTCTTATCTTCATGTTGAGTAGGCTGAAGAGGAAGAGGAGGGGTTGGTCTTGCCTTCTCAGGGGTGGCAGAGGTAGAAGAGATAGGGGAGGCGGAAGGGGAGGCAGGAAGGGCAGGCACACTCAGTGTAACTGTTACTGAAAAGAATCTGCATGTAAGTGGATCTGCACAGTTCAATCCATGTTGTTTGAGGGTCAGCTATATTTGAATTGCCAAGAATTCTGAACTGTCTCATGGCTAGCTAGGCATATGAATTTATGCTAGTTACGTGATCTTTTTGAGCTTTATATTCTTTGTTGGTAAAGTGGTACGAACAATACTTACATCACAGAACTGTTGAAGGGATGAAATGGAAGAACAATGTATTAATAGAAGTATGAATGTCGTTGGTCTTATCCTCCTGGGTCTCTTATGTATTTCCAGATGATATATTTCTTATAGAGAAATTCGATAGAGGTAGAAGGAAAGGAAGTCACTTCTCAGATAGAAGTGGGAAGGCTCTCCTAGTCATCCATCTCTCTCTGTTAGAGATAGTAACAGAAAGGACAGATACTTTTCTGTGTGGGGTGAATGACAGTGGAGAATGTAAGCAGGGCTGAGCAGATAGATAGAAGGCCTGAAAACCAGGGCAAGAACCTCAAACTTTCATCGGCAAGCTGGGGGTTGCGTGAGGAGAGCAAGGAAGGGACACGAGGCTGGGGCACATCCCTGGGAATGGAACCCAAGTGTGGGTTTGGATGTGTGAAGAGCTGGAAACTGGGAAGGAAAAGCATCGACAGCAGCCCACAAATAACTGGATCAGAAGCACCTTTCCGAGAACAATTCTGAACTTTGTCTAACACATATGCCTTTGGGAGGAAGAAAGCTTTTCTTGTGTTTTGGCAAGGGTGCTGAGCTAGGTAGCTAATAACCTAACAGTTTGATTTTGTGCCAAGATGTGTAAGGCTGCATATGCATGTTTAAAATTCATATCCACTGCAGTGACAAGTCACTGAACACTAGATGGGAAGACATTTCAGTTGAAGCTCAGCCAAAAGCCCTTTTGAAACAACTCTGACAAAATAACGCCATAAGTGAATAAAACCAGAGAGTTCCTGGGTATCTTTGAAAATGTCTCCCATGATGACAGTCTCAGACAAAGGTGCTGTGCACAGCTTCTAAGAAGCAATCACACACAAGCACAGCCATTCAACTTGCAGCTAGATTTCCTCAGTTCCAATTTGGAGTCAGGTGGATTGTGTTGTCCAGGGACAGACTGTGCTTTTGATAGTGACTTGGAACAATATAATTCTTTGCTAATGCAGCTTCATATCATGAAGTTACATATTTTCTTGGTATGATTGCACGGCCCTTGAAGTAAAACAGCCACATAGTTGTATGCTTTAAAATAGCCCGGTAGGGAAGAATTCCACATTTTAGAAGATGGATTTTTATAATTTAAGTTTGTGAATGTAAATTATTTGTGAACAATGGGATGTGACATCTCAAGACTCTCCTTATTGGGATCCCTGAGTGAGTTTAAAACTGGCTTCTGTGGCAGTGGGAAGAAGACACTGTGTGAGTGGTTCACAGCCCTTTGCGGTTGTCTTATTGAACTCTTTCAATACCTTAGAGTTTTGCCAGTTATACTTAGGTCCTTCTCACCTCATCCGTGACTTGAACCGCCTATACTAGATGACAGCTGAGGTGACTTTCAGCTGTAAAGTTTGGCATTTTATTTACTTAAAAATCTAGGTCAGTGCTCTGCCTTCTGGCTGCTCTGTCACTCTTCCCCAACAAGTTTAGTCCTGTTTCTGGTTAATTGTGGGTGTGTAGTAGAAATTTGCCCTTTTGCCAAAGGTGTAATTGAGAGGATGCCACAAAGGTATTAAGTTTAAGTGACATGACCAGATGTGAGAAGATTTGCATTTACAGCTGTCCATTGATATAGTCTATCACTTTGTACAATATTTCCTGAGATTTTCTATTTTATCTTTAAAATATTAAAGTTAACCACAATCTAAAGTGGTGTATTTTGTTTAAAACTTTTTAAAAAAATTAGTAATGTCACTTTGTGATCTAGTGAAGTAATACAGAAGTTATGCTATGTCAAAGATAAAGAGAACTCTGTAGTTATGAGGATGGTCGGCAGAAATGTGAAGGATGGCTCTTAAATCTCTTCTCTTCCACTCTCCTTCGGAAGCCTCTGTCTAATCATTTGCTTCCTTTATTAGTGGGACCCTTAATAGGGTCCAATTAAGTTCTGTATTTTAGGGGATCTCTCTGAAGTTTTTTGGTTCTATAATGTAAAGGTTGTCGTGTTTACAGTTTTTTTCCACATCACGAGTTCAGGACATGATAACATAATAAACGAGGTTTTCTACAAAGCCAAGGATCTGAATGACAAAGGAAGGACAACTAGAGATTAGGGATATAAAAGTGACTTCCAGGAATCTTTTCATTTAGTGTATTAAGTATCACATGTCTGTCAGATTTCTTTAATTGGCTCTTTCAGCTGTGTGGAGGTCGTAGTGGGGGAAACATGCCAGTAGGACAAGAGGGAGCTGGTGGGAGATGCAAAGAACACACTTGCTTTCCACAGAGTGACACCTGACTTGTGCTTTGCCTGTGTGCTCTTTCCAGAACCTGTGAGAAGTTTCTACAATGGTGGGCTCAGCTCTCAGGAGAGGTGCCCATGCATATGTCTACCTGGTGAGTAAGGCCAGTCACATCTCCAGAGGCCATCAGCACCAGGCCTGGGGATCGAGGCCTCCTGCAGCAGAGTGTGCCACCCAAAGAGCTCCAGGCAGTGTGGTGGAGCTGCTGGGCAAATCCTACCCTCAGGACGACCACAGCAACCTCACCCGGAAGGTCCTCACCAGAGTTGGCAGGAACCTGCACAACCAGCAGCATCACCCTCTGTGGCTGATCAAGGAGAGGGTGAAGGAGCACTTCTACAAGCAGTATGTGGGCCGCTTTGGGACCCCGTTGTTCTCGGTCTACGACAACCTTTCTCCAGTGGTCACGACCTGGCAGAACTTTGACAGCCTGCTCATCCCAGCTGATCACCCCAGCAGGAAGAAGGGGGACAACTATTACCTGAATCGGACTCACATGCTGAGAGCGCACACGTCTGCACACCAGTGGGACTTGCTGCACGCGGGACTGGATGCCTTCCTGGTGGTGGGTGATGTCTACAGGCGTGACCAGATCGACTCCCAGCACTACCCTATTTTCCACCAGCTGGAGGCCGTGCGGCTCTTCTCCAAGCATGAGGTGAGTCTTGAGATGTTTCTCATCGCTGAAGGATGTCATAGACATTTTATGTTGAGGTCACTAACATTTAGCTCGATGAGACCAGCATAGTCATCCTTGCTTGCCTTATTTTGCCTTAGTGAATCATCCATACTTAATGACATCTTGTGTATAGGTGTGCCCCAGTACTTTTTGACCGCTTTGTTGTGTTAGTAACTACAGAAATTGGTAAGCCTTAGTTTCCAGTTGTCTGTCCTTATCCTTTCTCTCAATACTGACCCGCCATTCTCTGGGTTACTTCTTATGAATGGAGAATAGTCTGTGGCTCAAATTCACCTTTAATCCAGGATGGCTGAAGGTGCAACATGGAAACCTGTGGTCAGGTCATTCTTAATTCTGTTAGGAGAAGTAAATTATATTTTCTTGCTGTTAGAGAGAAATGAATTTCTTAGGTACCTTAGGGGCCTGATGATTTATTGGCTTGGGCTGTAAACTGTGTCTTGTCCCCAGGCACTTTCCTCACCCTCCCTGGCTTTGCATGTTGCTGTGAGATGTCTTAATTGCTGTGGGATGTCTTAATTGCTGCTATTCTTGAAGCATGTGTTAGGATGATGCATGGAGCCTTTTCCCAACTCCTTGCGTCTGTTAGATGTTATCCTAATATGTTGTGTGCATCTGTTAGATGTTATCCTAATACGTTGTGTGCATCTTTTTTTGTTGTTTTTTTTTTTGCAAATTCTGAAATCCCTAAAAGCTTGATTCCATTTCCTAAAAACTTGCCATACCACTTGTCCCTCACTCATGTTTTAAAAACCATCTCTGTTTTTATATAAGAAACAAATGCGTTAAACTAAGCACAGGGTGTATTTCATTTTACTTCCTTAGCAATGTCCCTTCCAGACATGTTCACTGGAACAGGAGGAATTATTATCGTCACAAAACTCTCTCCTGCCAACGTAAGCTAAATGAGTTATTAATATGAAAACAAATAGTATAGCATCCTTAGGCCAATAGGTAACCATTGTTCTGTTGTATTCTATAAGTCCTATAGCAGGAGATAACTGAACAGGACTGCCCTCCCCTTCTCTCCTTTTTCTTTCTGTTTACCTCTGGATGTGCTGTTCTTTTGCGACTCTGTGATAATACAGTAATAGCTTAGCCTTACACAAAAAGGCCATCCGTGCTGGATCTCGGGGGATCTCAAATGAGCATTCTCACTACTTGGAATAGCTGACTATTTTCCAAGTTAGGAAAAATAATGATTAATAAGGATATAGATTTATTAGGGAACTAATATGAGATGAATAAAGACAGGTCAAAATCTGGGAAATATGACCAAGTGATAGAATGTCATTTAAAATTAATGTACAAGAGGAGCTGTGATGCCAGTAATATGACGTCCAGGTCACAGTAGCAGACAGGTGCTCAGCCCAGCTTACCTCATTAAAGAAATAAGAAAGGACTGTGTGCTCTGATTTGTAAGCCTGCATGCCATGAAAGAGGCAATGAAGGCTGCCAGGCACTTCTAGCATTTTAATGGAGGGAAAATCAAGGCTGCCACAGAAGATGGGAAATAGGAAGTGGATAGGAAATTAGCCTTCACCTTGTTTCATATTTGTTTTGGGTCCAGTCCAATTTGGTAGTTAGTACAAATTACTAATCTAAACTGATGATGCTACTATATATTCTGCGTATAGTTAAAAAATTATGCTCATGTGTATGTATGTATCTAATCTTCTTATATAAGGTGCATCTGTGTTCATTGCTTCGTTTACTCCTCTTAATAAAAACCTCGCAAGGTAGATCATTTTGACTTCAGCCATGAGGAATGAGGTCCCGAAAGGTTTAGTGACTTACCCAAAGTTGCTGAAGCAGTTAGTAACATGCCTAGAACTGGAACTCAGCTCTTCTGAATTCATTGCCTGTTTTTCTGTATTCTGCTTTTTTTCATGACACTCCTTTCTACGTGGGACCTGCTTATGACCCAAAGGGGAGTTTTGGTTCCAAGAATGCTATGGAGAGTGGAGTCAGAAGATTGTGGTGTTTTCTGAATTCCTAACCTCAACTAAAGTGTTGGTACTAACTCTGACCTAATCTTAACTCTAAACAAAATGTTTTTTCGTCTTTCAGTTTATTCCCCTATGAATAGGATTTTTAGAGTTGTAATAATGTTACAGAGACAATTTTAAACATTTTATTATTATCTTTTAAGGTATTTTTGTTGTTTAATCTTTGTAATTATTACTTTCATCACTATAACGTGTATTTCAGCAAGAAGAAAAGTAAATACAGAGGTGCAGGGTAAAAAAACAATGATAAGTATAGAAATGGATGAGTCACAGTAATCTATACACTTAGCTATTAATTGTGGAAAAAAATCTTTTGTATTTTGAAAAATAGTAAAATGAAAACTCTAGTGAACAGTAATAAATTGGGGGGAGTAATCAATAGATATTGAAAGTCTGCTAAGGCTCTTGTCATATTTGGGGATAGGATAAAATTACTGAGTAACTTCAGACTTTGTTGGAAAAAAATTAGATTGCAGTACAATGTATACATTGCAAACAGTTGGAGTAGAAAAGGAGGAATGTAGAGCATGATCTCAATTTAACAGACAGGAAAAAGGAATGAAAAAAATATGGTAAATAGAAACCCCAAATTAAGGATGTAGATATAAGTCCAAATACATCAGTATTCATGAATTTAAATGGGTTAAACTTACTAAAGACACACATTATCAGATTGGATATTTTTCAGTTAGAGAAACCTGAAACAAAACCACACCAAAGGGTGAAAATAAGGGGCAGGAAAAAGAGATATCAAGCAAATAATTATCAAAAGAAAGTTGGTACAGCAATATTAATATTATGTAAAATAGAATTTATGAAAAAAGTGACAAGCAGTAACAAAGAGGGGTAGTTCCTCAATCAGGAAACTTTATGAATTAAGAATTTTTATGTATTCAACATCATAGGCTTAGTACATAAAGCAAAACTGAAGAATTAAAAGTTAAGTTTGACAAATTTATAACCATGTTAGAAGATTTTAAGTGACCTTGGTCAGAAACCAATGGGTTACGAAGTTAAAATGTGTAAAGATACAGACAGTCTGAAAAGGTGGTTGACAAGTTTGATTTATATTTATTTTTAAAATTTGGTAGCCATAAACATATATATACACACATACACAATTATATATGTATATGTGTATAAACACACATGCAGAACCATGCACATACATGGAGTTTTATATGCAAATGTCAGAAGTGTATAGTCATATGGATTTCTAAAAATTACTTATGCATTACTAATTGACAGTCAAAGTCTAAACAAATGTCAAAGAATCAACAACATAAATAGAACTTTGCCTGCCTGACTTCAGTGTAGTTTATGTAGAAAGCAATAAGAAAGTATAATAAAAATGTTCCATATTCTCAGAAATTTAAAAATATACAAGTATAGCTTCATGGGTTAAAGAGAAATATTAGCAATAAATTACAAATTACTTATCACTGACCAGCAATGAAAATACTTTGAACTGCTCAAATGTGGGGAACCATAGTCACTTCATTATGGAGAAACTTGGTATTCCCCACCTAAGCCGTAGGATCACTGTTAACATTAGAAAAACAAAACTGATGATGTTAGCTAAAAGGGTATTTGTCATATCTTTCGCTTTAGATATGTTTATTTTAAAAATTGAAAATGGAAATCATCAAATTAAGTGTTCAATTTATGATGCTAAAAATGACTTTATTACAAAAAAAGTGGAAGGGAGGTGGGTGTATAGTCTTTGAATATCCCCAAATCTTACCAAATTGAGAGAGCAACTAGAATAGCAAAACCAAATACCGCAGACAACATCTACAACACAATTAGGTGACAAGTTCTCCCTAAATCCTCACAAATGCATGGGAAGTCACAATGAACAGCTAGAAGTTCTGCACTGTATCAGAAACAGGTAGTATAGGGACACAGCAGTACTTGAGAGAAAAGGAGAGCTTCCTTAGGGGTCTCTCAGAGAACAAACTTCCACAATCAAATTTACGGGAGAGACTTTGGCTCAAAGTACCAGTATCACTGTTCATCAGTGACTACTGACGTCATCTGTCTAGGAAAACAGTGGATCTCTACCTCACACTAAATCTTCAACATAATGTGGGAAGGTGGATTAGACATTAATATAAAGGGACAACCACAGTTAACGTGTCTCCTGAAGGAAGGATACAATACCAACTATAGAGTCTCCCCCAAAATGTTGGACTTGAGTCTGATTAATTCTCTAGACCCAACTACCATATGTGTAGGACATATTCAGGCTGTGGGAAATTGTGTAGCAGGTCTACTGGAGGTGTGATCTGCAGAATGAAATAAATAGAGGACTCAAGAGTAAGTACTAGGAAATGTTTAACCAATGCTAAGGGTTTAGAAATGTTTATGCCATTGTATTCAAGCACGTTATTAGTGGACTTCTTTTGTTGAACAGTGTGTGTGGATGGGTTCAAGTGTCCTTAAATACTCTTGGTGTGTTGAGTGTGCCCAGTCTATGCAGTAGCAGTAGGCCCATGTATCAGTTTGTGATCCTTGGGAAATCTAAAACTATTCCTTTGCTATGGCTTGAGAAGCGCTGCTCTATGGGATAAAGGACCCAATTTCTTCAAATGATTGCAAGAAAAATAAAAGGGGATGAAAACGATACCCGTAGATTAAAAGAAAGATCTATCAGTCACAATGTGTAGATCCTATTTTTAAAGAAAAAAAAACCATGACATTTGAGACCACTGGAAATTTGAGCACTGACTAACTGAATATTTGAAATTCAGTTCTTTTTTGTTTTTATTTTTTAGATGTGATAAATGGTATTGTATTTTTATGAAGTCATTTTGTTTTAGAGATACATATTGAAATACCTAAGGGCAAAACGATCTGATGTCTGTGATGTTCTTCAAAACAATGTGGGAAGGTGGATTAGGCATTTGGAGATGGATGTAAGAGGATTAATAATTGTTAATTATTGAAACTGGGTGTTGGATGCAGAGAAATCATCATCCTTTCTATTCGTGCATACGTTTGAAAATTTCCAAATAAAAGGCTAAGGGAAAAGACTGAAGGAAAACACTGGGATCCGTCAGTCAGTCAAAAACATTGGCTGAATATGTACTGGGATTCAAGACTGTAAGAAGATATCAGACAGTCATGAGATGGTCCCTGCTTTCATGGGGAAGACAACTATTAATATAAAAAAAGAGTGCAGGATAAATTAAAGATAAAAGCATTCATTACATGTAATAGAAAACTGAAAGCAATTAACTCTAAAATTAATAGCCTTTCCTCCATCAGCCTCAGATGATTTTACACAAGTTTTTACCAAATCATGAATTACTTGTACAATCTGTTTCAGAACATAGAAAAGAGAGTCCTACCAAGCTCATTTTATGAGGTTAGACATGTTAATATCCCAACTAGATAAGAAAGAAAACTTTTGAAGTTTCATCATTATGAACATAGATTATTCCTTTTTAATGAACAGATATAGAATTATTAAATGAAATATTTGAAAATTCAATTCATTGATTTATTGTGTCCTACCACATTATTATTGCATATACATTACATTGTACTGTATTAACTGATATAAGGAGAAAAAGCATGTGATCATCTCAATAGATATAGAAAAATGATTGCATTTAATGTCTCATGACATTAAAAAAGCATTTGATGACATTAATGACTCATGATAAAAACTTTTAGCAAATTAGAAATAGAGGGAAACTTCCTTGACTTTACAAATGAAATCCATGAAGCTCTTACAGCAAACATAATTAATGGTGCATCATTCTAAATATTTCTATCCAAATTAGCCACAATTCAGGATTCCTTCCTATCACTGTTCATCATTATGTGGTAAATTCTAGCTTATGCAGTAAGCCAGAAAGAGAAATAGAAGGCATAAGCATTGGAAAACATAGATAAAACTGCTTTATTTGTAGAGGATTTGATGCTTTACCTAGAAAAAGAATATACAGATCAACTATTAGAACTTACAAGACAATTCAACAAAGTTGTTGGATTCAGGGACAATATAGAAAAATTAATGTTTTTATCCATAAGTAAGAACCAATTACCAAATATAATAACACATTTTATTTGTAGTATCAACTAAAATATTTCAGTACCTAGGTATAAATCTTGCATCAGATATTTGAGATATTTATGGATAAAATTATTAAATATTATTAAAAGACATAGAAGAACATAAGGAGAGATTTACCATATTTGTAGATTCATAGATAGGAAAACAATATCATGAAGATGACAATTCATCCAAAATTAATCTACAAATCCAGCGCAAATCCAACCAAAATTTTCACTGGATATTTTGGAAAAATTGAGGGACTAATCTTAAAATTTATAGAAAGAGCCCCAGGTATTAAGACTTATACTTGTGTAGTTGTAAAGATAGTTTAGTAATGGCACAAGGTTAATTGGGTAGAGAACATTGCAACAGCTCTACTTCATATTTGAGAACTTATGAAATATAAGTGATATTTCATATCACATAAGTGGGAGGTGATGGATTCTACATTAATTGTTCTGAGACAGTTATCTCTATAGGAAAACAGTGGATCTCTACCTCACTCTAAATCCATCAAATGGATGGATTAATAAGTCATTTGTGAAAAAGAAATCTTTAAAACTTTTGGAAGAAAATATAGGAGATTGTCATTTTTACTCTGATAGAATATAATATCATAAACATGAGAATTCTTGAACAAGAAAAATCCATAAGGGAAAAAAGTGCTAAAGTTGGCTACATTGTGTTAAAACATCTGCCTAATAAAAGTCTCCATAATCAAAGTTATGAGACATTTCTACGTGCTGGGTGGAGATATTTGCTGTGTTGTCAGACATATTCCTACTGGATTCTTTTTTTCATCCTGAGACTTTCTTTTACATGATCACTACCAATCTTCTGTCAATCTTTCGACACTGTTCTCCTTTCTGAAAATGCATATAGGTGGTGAGCACACGTGTGTGCTTTTACTATTCTTTAAACATGTCATACTCATATACTTTTATGTGTATGATTTATTGTGTAAGAAGAAGGCACATGACTGGCTGATAAACAAGGACCAGCTTTATCAATAAACAAGAAAATGCAAATTAAAACAACCAAATATGATTCCAAACTCAGCAGATTAGCAAAATTTGATAATCCTCACAATACCAAAGGCCTAGAGGAACTGTCCATCTTATAGCCTTCTATTGGGAGTGTATATAGTTACTGCCACTTTGGAGGGTAATTTGGTAGTTTCCAATGAAAACAAAAATTGTATGCTATGTGATTTGGCATTTTTTTCTTTAAGTGTTAAAAAGTCTCAAAAACCCATCAAGAGGAGCAAGGATAGATAAAATGGGCTCTGTTTTTATATTGAATACTTTATAGCAATTAACATAAACGATCTAGAGGTACTTGTATCAACATGGATGGGTTTTAATGCAATCTTGAGGGAAACAAGTACACCGCGAGTGGTACTAAACTATCATATCTTTTTAAATGGATATTCAGAATGCACCCAATAACAAAAACATGCCCGACAATGTGTGTTCTTATGGACTTGCTTATATTCTTTCTCATCTGTCTTTGTCTATTTCTCTTTTTATGCACACAAACACAATTTTTCTTTAATCCAGCTAGATAAACATAAAAGTAGATGTGAAAAAATATATGGAAATAATAAACACAAAAATCAAGGTCGTGATTATTTATGATGTGGAAGGAGGGTGAATGAGATCAGGCATCATATCATTCTTTGCAAACAATGCAATATTTTATACTTTTTAGGAGCATAGAAGGATTTTGAGACTTACATGTTTGAGAACCACTGTTCTATAGCTTCCAAACGAAATTTTTAGAAAACATTTGAGACATTTAGTTTGCAAAGAATGGTGAATTTCAAGTATTTGGCAGGCCCACCAGAGGAAACTCTTACAAATCCTGTGTCTATTTAATCTGATTAAAAATGTCAGTTGAAACATGCATGTGTGGACCAGTGCTCAGACAAGTTCTGTTTTCCCACTCTCCCTGGTGGCACCTTGTCGTGTTTCACCAGATGCACACTTGTGTGTGGGCCCTGAGGATGGACAGAGGAGTTGCGTGAGAGACAGGCATTCCGCAGGTTGTTCTCCAGTCTTGGCTGCAGACTGTTTGCCTCCTTATTTTGTCTTCATTCCCCTTTGATAACATCCTCTGGGTCTGTTTCTTCCAGGATTTTTCTGTCGTGTACACACATGTGCAGGCAATACTTCCTCCTGAATTTAAGACGATTCATAATGAGCCTTCTTTTCTTCCAGATTCTGTCTCCATTATTATTATTATTATTTAAAATTCTAAATGCCTCTTGTTTTCTTAAATTTTATACAAGAATGTGCATATCTGTTTCTTGTCCTTCTTGCTAGTAGTTCTCAAACTTGAGTGTATTAACCAGTCTTGGTCCATGACCGAGTTTTTGTTGATTTTACAGGAAAATAAAAAATATAAGAGCAATATACCAATTTTTATAAAGGTATATTTATTTATTTTAAAGAGCTCTCCTCTGTTCTAGGATGATTTCCTTGCCACTTTCCTGAGTGTTAAAATGCAATTTCTCTTATGAAGTGATGGTGATAGTATTTTAAGCATATGCCTGTACTTGGCAAAATAAAGCATTGCCTACCTTATCTTAGTCCCTATAATGTTTTGAAATTTTTACCAATCTATGAAATATATAACCTTACACCTTAACAAATGAAGGCATAATTGTGGAGAAGTTATAAATATTACATAATTAATATATAATTTACAAATATTCACACAGAAATAAAGGGAAATCTTTTCGGAAAAGAGGATGAGTGAAGGTGTACAGAGAAGTAAGCTTTTTGTATAATTTTGACCACAACCCATTACTGGAATGGCCCTTCATCAAGAGGTGTGTGTTCAGTTCATATACCACCCACCCCTTTAAACATAATCATGCTCATTCGCCATTTCCTCATGGAGGGATTTTAGGAGCGTAGAAGGATGTTGAGACTTACACGTTTGAGAACCACTGTCCTCAAACCACTGTCCTCAACCACTGTGGGTGAGGGGCTCCTTCCACGGAGGCTGCTCCTGCCCTCACGATTCCTTCCCGCTGGAGTGAGGCGCTTCTTTTTGAACACCCCTTTGGCATCCTTTGTGGTTCATCCTTGTCAGAAAAAACCGCTGTCATTTATCATTAGAAAATCTCACTTTTGCTGCCTTTGATATTCTCTCCCACTTTCCAGATGGTTCACTGGAACCCTCCTGTTCTTGGGCTTCTCTTTCCAAGCTTCCCCGCTGTTACTCTTGTAGTGAGCCCATGGTTGTCTCTTTATTCCTGCTTTCTGCTCTGAATCACTTTTCTGTCTTTCAGTGAGTGACAGGGTTTTATTCTCCACCGTGTGGTTATTGGGTTTCCTTAATAGCCTCATGTGGAGGGGCTTTGTTGAAGGCATTTTTATTCGGCTTTGACAGATTATAGTCCCCATGTTTCCCTAATCTCTTCTTTAAAATATTTTAGGAAGCATTGTCCCTGTCAAAGACACACTTAAATTCAAACAGCTTTTCCTTTTTAAAATTATTTTTCTCTGTTCACATGTTTACGTAGTCCTCTGTCTTGACAGTTAAGTGAGAGGCAACTGGTCATAGTGAGGAGTCCATGGATTTGGGAAATACCCCATTATTGGAGGGCAAAGCATGATTTGGAGGACCGTTTGGAGAGAGACCCCTTTTTCTGTGGCACAGGGCTTTTGCAGATAATTAGTCTTTGGCTACGACAAGATGGAAACTATTAGGCTCTTAGTCTGAGACTCATCACTGCCTTGTAGCAGTTTTGCCCATGACCCTTACTGGGCTTTCAGCAACTCACTGCCTTGAAATGTTAGTTTGTGTGTGCCTGGTGTCTCCAGCTGGTTAGTCAACTCCTTAAGGGTGCCACTCTATCTCTTTTTGTGCCTGATCTTTCTAACCCAGGATTCTGCACAGAACAGCAATGTCTCCCTCTTTCTGGGCTGTCAACTTTCACTGAAAAAAATGACAGCTAGCACTGTTAACTGCATGGCAGCTCACCTATCTGCTTGTCTAGTTGGGTATTCTCAGCTATAAGAGCACATGTGTCTGTTAGGGTCCAATTCTGATATGGAAACCGCACAGTAACTTGATCAAGGAAAGCATAATGTAAAGAATTACAAACTCCAACACAGAACTTGGGTAATCAGGGATTGGCCAGTAAGAGGTAATGAAAGAGTCCAGAAGTATTATCTATAAGGAGGAGCTGCTACCCTTAGGACTAAGACGGGGACCCAGAGAAGAGCCCCTTCCTCCTTCCCGCAGCTGTGGTTCACTGAGTGGCTCAGAAGTGCTAGTAGTGGTGCCATGCTGGTGAAATTGCTTGATATCCACGCTCTGGAATGTACCGAAATCTGCTTTCTTGGGTGTGGGGAAAGTTAATTTGGGAGACTTGTCTTGTGGGAAGCACTATGCTATGAAAATGATCAAATGGGGTACCGAGGAGAGCAGCTGGCCATTGGAGGAGCTGTGTTGCCACCTGCACTGCAGATCTGGGCAAAAGAAGTGCAGGGTGCCCAGTAAGAATACCTTCCTTTGCCATGTCCCTCCAGCGACCTCTACTGACAAAGTTTAGCATTTTGCCAGCTGGCAAAGGAAAATATTTCAAGGACTCAACTCAGTTTTCACAGAGCAGGCAATGAAGGATTGATTGTTTTGTGTAGGTGATAAGTGACAGAGTCAGCTTGCTCCCTTTCCTGAATGTCTAGAAGCCTTTAGGGAGATAGGCTATCATTTATGCAATTACATGAGTTGCTAGGGAAAGTCATATTTATGGAGGCAAAATATTTGTTCTTAATTCAAATTTAATATTTCTGAAAACAATTAGGTAATGGGAAAGCTCTCTAGTTATTCGATCTTAGTAGATGGAATACACAGAGAATAGAGGATGTTCTCAAGGGTAAAAGCTTGTGCTCCTGAACCAATAATAGCATCCAAAGAAAAACAGATTAATATTCTTTACATCTCATTTCTCTAAGATCTCAGGAAAATTATTGCCATTTACATTCTACATTTGTTGTTGAAGGCTAAGAGGGCCTCATTAGGTTTACCAAATCCAAATAATTACAGTTAGAGACGGTGTTTTTTTCTACTAGCTGAAGTGATGTGTGAAAATAGCAAAAATATTTTCACAGAGAAATTATGCTCTTTAACAGTAAACTTCACGCCTTGCTAGGAACTGCATTTCTCTGCCTGGTGTGTATCATCGAATGCTACTTGTAGGGATGGAGTGGTCTAATTTCACATTTCGAGCTTGGTAGGTGCAGGTGGGCTGTAGGTGAAAGGGAGTTTTCTTTACCAGCCAGCCTCAAAAATGGCTAGCAGCCGGTGCCACTCGCATAGTGTTGAATTATATGTCCAGATACCCCAGTCTACTCACAAATGTAAAAGACTACACTCTTGCTATTTGACCAAGAATGCACCCTGTACTGGGTACTTTCATTGTCTTCGCTCCGAGGCTTCGTCCTAAAATCTGCTTTCTGTGTCATCTCCCTGACTCATCCTGGGATAGGTCTCTGCAAAATTGTAAACTTTTGTTAGTTTAAATGAATTTGAAAGGTAAGATAGTTTTCTTAAACTAGATACATCATCTAAATACAATGTTAGTCTTTAGCTGTATATTTTAGTTTTTATAGAAACTTTATATAATCTTATATAAGATCAATAGTAGTTCATTATAGCAATTATTTATTTATTTATTTATTTATTTATTTATTTATTTATTTATTATGAGACAGAGTCTCGCTCTGTCGCCCAGGCTGGAGTGCAGTGGCGCGATCTTGGCTCACTGCAAGCTCCACCTCCTGGGTTCACGCCATTCTCCTGCCTCAGCCTCCTGAGTAGCTGGACCTATAGGTTCCCGCCACCACACCCGGCTAATTTTTTGTATTTTTAGTAGAGACTAAAAATCCTGTTAGCCAGGATGGTCTCAATCTCCTGACCTCGTTATCCGCCCGCCTCGGCCTCCCTAAGTGCTGGGATTACAGGCGTGAGCCACCGCGCCCGGCCTATAGCAATGATTTCTAATTTTCTTTTCTTTTCCTATTTGAGAGTCTGATGAGAAATTTGCATACTCCCCAGAAACACACACACACACACACACACACACACACACACATACACACACACACACAGATGCAGAATTTTTTATATAGTTTAAAGGGTTTTATAGGCTTATTAGTTAAAGGGTTTTATGGGCTACTGGATTAGATTATGAAATTTGAAGTCAGGGTCAAGGAGATAGTTTTTGCTTTTAATAGGTAATTCCCAATCTCAGTCTGTAGTAAATTGGAAAATCTGTTCTGGATTCTTTCAGCAATCCTCTCTCTTTCCACATCTGCCACTTTTCTGTGACACTTCTTTTGGGTCACATTGCCATGCTGGGGTTATGTTTGGTGGTCGATTATGTAAGTAGCAACGGAAGTTAGGGTTAAGTTAGCTATAGGAAGGCAGAGAATGCTGCCTAACTTGGGTATGACCAGATGTCAGTTATTAGAATGATTGGAGATTGAGAACCAAGTCAGGAGTTCAGAGTCAGAGGCAGTGTAGGAACAGGAGGCTGGGTTGGATGTGTTGGGGGAAACCAAGGGAAAAGTGGAAAGTCTCTCTCCGAGGGCTGGGAGCATTCCTAAGTTGTGGTCATTTCTGGACCAGGAAATACAAAGAGCTGGTTTCTGTTTAGAAAGCTGGTGAGGCGGACAGATAGCCAAAGAGCAGACTCTGGGACAGTGGGCAGCATGGGTCCTGCGGGGAGCAGATCTTGCCATCCATCTGGTAAACACTGGCCCTTGGAATCTTGTTATGTGTTGGACTTTAGATAGCGTGTGTGTATTCTTTAAGGTTTATGAGCTATGCTTAAATCAAGCAGAGAAAGATTTACGTTTGACAAATGACAAGGAACGATTTCTCACCATAAAGATTTTGAGTGAGAGAATGAGTTTCAAGGGAACTTGGGTTAACCTTCTCCAGGGTGATGCTTCTTAATATTTTTATGCTGTGGATTTCCAGATAAGGTAAAAGACCCTTCAGTTCAGTTATCCCAACTCTTTCATCTCTTTAATGCAAAAGGAACTCAGTGATAGCAATGAGGTGTCATTTGGGAATTTGGTGGTAGGACTATGTAGAATATGTATCCCTCTCCTTTGGTAATAGTAGTACAAATGATTTTTATTTAAACTTTAGTGTCTCAAATATAATCTTAAAATCTAGTTGTTAGATATTGATTCTATCATGTCAATTTACACACAGTAAAGTCATCCATAATGATGTAGCTAGAGTAACAGTGATTTATTATTAAAAGGCCTAATAGTATGTGAAGTCTACAACCAACTCAGGCTACCACTGAAGATCCACTGATAGTTTACTTCTTGGAATCGTGGAGATTCCACCTTTTGAAGAGTGCTGCAGGGAGTAGAAGCTTCTTTGTTATTGTCTGTTTATATTAGTCAGGGTTCTCCAGAGCAACCGAACCAATAGGATATAGCACAGATATATAATAAAAAGATGGCTCAGGAGGACAAACATTATAGTTTGTCACAATCTGAAGGTTGGAGAAGCAGAAGAGCCAATGGAGTCCAAGTCTGAAGACAGGAGAAGACTGATGTCCCAGTACAGGGACAGTGAAGTAGAGAGAATTCTTTCTTCCTCAGCATTTTATTCTATTCAGGTGCTTGATGGATTGGCTGAGGCCCACCACACTGGGGATGGCCACATGCTTTACTCGCTTTGCCTGTTCAAGTATTAATCTAGTCCAGAAACACCCTCACAGACACATCCAGTAATGATGTTTAATGAAATATCTGGGCACCCTGTGACCCCGTCAAGTTGGCACATAAAATTAACCATCATACCATTCTTGGGGATCTTCATGGTGAAACACTGAGAGTCCTCAGTCAGTTCTAATTTATATGTTCTATCGATGCCACATTTTTATTAATAACTCCTAGTGTACCACTTAGTCAATGACCAATAAATAGCCTCTATTTGTACATAAAAGTATAAGAATAAGGAATTATGCCTTTTTTACCCTTTAGGACTGAATAAAGGACTGGAACTTTTGGCCGCTGGCCTTTGGAGCCCCTCCATGGCCTGGACATTATATCTTGAAAATGTTTGTTTTTATAGCAGTGCTTGTTATTCTCCAGAATAACACCAGCTTTTGAGCTAGCGAAACGAGAGGCAAATCCTGGCTGTGCAACTCAGCCTCTGGTGACCTTAGATAAGTTCTTTAACGTTAACACTCTGAACTTCAGCGTCCATAACTAAAATGAGGACAACTCTTGAGTGGTGGTGAATGAGCCTGCCACGCTCCTGACATTAGGAGGTGTTCAGCTAATGGTCGCTGCCCTGCCCATCCCCTTCTGTGTATCTTACAAATAGTTGTCTCCTCCTTTTGTGTTAAGTGTTGATCCATCTGAGCATTGTCAATGTCAATTATGTATCTTGTGGGTTGTCCTTTTTAGTTCTGATCTACTTTTTTTTTTTTTTAAAGCCTTTGCTGTCTTTTCTGTTCTTTCCCGTGGTTGACTGATTAGTAATGTGTCTTCTGTCACCTTCCTATAGAACAGGTGATGGAATTTAGATGGGGCCTTTGTCCTGTTATATTTTGCCCACTGGCATCATGAATGAGCTGTTTAGCCACCTGGAGAAGAAAATGCAATCTCTTTCTCTCTGTTTGATCTGTCATCATGGCCCAGGAAGAAGATGTTGAGAGATCATAATTTTAAAGTTGACAGCAGAATGGGTGAAGTTTTCTCCTACTTTACATGGTGGTTGTCATGAGAACCAGTTCACACCAGAATGGGGTGTTTTTTGTTGTTGTCATTGTGCTTTTTGCCTTGACACATGGAGATATTTAATTTCCATGTAATTTGTGTGCAGCTTCCTTGCTTTGACGGATTGAAATTTCTGATTCTCTGTAGAGGCCAGAGCTTGGCAGTAATATTAATCTACTTCCTTTTCTCCTAGGAGAGCCCCTGAGAGAAGAAAAGTGCTGGAAAGTATAGTCATTGCGATATGTCAGGATTAATAAAAGCAGGCAAAGCAAATGGCCAGATTTCCAAAATACCCAGCAGCATTTGGCAGTATTTTTGGGGAGGCCGAGTTCAGGCAGCTGCCGATGCCACCCCACTGAGAGCACTGCGGAGGGCAGCCTCGCCTTCTGCCGGCCACATGGCTGTGTGGAATCCCATGGGATGGAATCTGCTGCCCTTAGGATTTCTATTGTCCCTGGCCTCTGGAGAGCACATGTTTTGGTCACTAAGCAAGGAACTGAGTAGCCTCTGTGATGTGTTCAACTTGAGTTTTCTGTCATGGAGGCTTAAGTAGGGGGAGATATGGACAGGCCATGTTGGCCAGCGAGGACTTGTTTGAGTTGGAAAATAAAGGTCTGACATAGGGTTTCCCTGAGAAAGCTCAGACTGAAATAGGAGGAACCTGTCTGTTTGAAGCTTGAGCTTCTAATCTAGTATAGCACCCTGACAGCCAGTATTTTGTTCAGCTGCCTGGCAGAAGTTGTTTCTCAGCCACCAATGTATTTTTGTAGCATCTTTCACCACAGAATACTGACTGTTTCACATCTCTTCCCATTAATCCACTGGCACAAAGTCTCATTGCAAGGAGAGGAAATGAGACAAGCAGCAGGGAGAAAATAAAGTCTGCTTTTTGCAGTATAGGGCTTTAGTGCATTTCTTCCCCTGTGCTCATCTCTGTAACTTGATTAATTGGCATGTGGTGCATTACAGAAAATCCAGGCAATGGCAAAGCTGGTTCAATATCAATTAGTTAAAACAGGGAGGGACTTCCCATAGAGACCTTAGGACAGAGTTGTATTTAACTGGGCCCTTGAAACACAAGTCTTCCCGAATGATGAGCAGTAGAAGATCCTACTTAGGGCCCAGTTGGTTAAAGAAATTGAAAACTGTAGAAATTAGCAGCTGAAATCCACTTGGATGAGTTTGCTATCCCTTTAATATATCTGTCTATTCATCTTACTAAGGCATCCCAATCCTTCCTCCAAAGTGATTTGAATACTTAATATTTGCTGAAATGCTTTAGTTGGATTTGAATAATGTAATTGAATTTGCTTGCTGCATTTGGGGGAGATGAAGGCTTGGGAGTTTCTTTTCTTTTTTTCTTTTCTTTTTTTTTTTTTGAGACGGGGTCTTGCTCTGTCACCAGGCTGGAATGCAGTGGCATGACCTCGGCTCACTGCAACCTCCACCTCCCAGGTTCAAGCGATTCTTCTGCCTCAGCCTCCCAAGGAGCTGGGACTACAGGCATGCACTACCATGCCCAGCTAATTTTTTTTTGTATTTTTAGTAGAGACGGGGTTTCACCATGTTGGCCAGGATGGTCTTGGTCTCTTGACCTCGTGGTCTGTCCGCCTTGGCCTCCTAAAGTGCTGGGATTACAGGTGTGAGCCACCACGCCCAGCTGGGTGTTTCTATGGTAAGAAATGTGAGTGTGCTTATGTTTAGCAGTGATTCTTATTTCTCTGTATGTGAACCAAGGATTAATAAGCAGTAGACCTGCCAAGTATGTGAGGCTGTATTCATCACAGTTACGGCCTGTGTCTGTCACTCTGCAGATGACTGGCTTATCCCTGGGGCTCAGGGGTCGCCTGCTTAGTGACAGGTTTTGGTTGAACCGAGTTGGATATAGATTGCCTTTGTGTTTGGATGCCACACATTCTTGGGAAGCTCGTCCTAAACCAGATTGCTGTAAAATAAGATATTGACTAAGTGTTGTTCCTATATATATAGAGAGAGATGAAGTATAAACTCTGCTCCCCACAGTCAGCATAATGGAAGATACAGTCAAGGCACGGAAGAGGGAGAGCTCTATTCCTGGGGGTAATAATAGAAGGTGTCCCAAAGAATCTCAGACAAAACATTATAGTTGTACAGGCAGAGAAGAAGGGGCACTGTGTTTCAGGTGGTGTGAGTAGCAGATTGAAGGAATGAAGATGTATGAAGGTGACGAGTCCCCGGAATGTGTAGTGTGGAGCGTGGCACATTGGAAAGTGACAGGTGATGGAGTTAGAGAAGGAAGCACGAACTGCTTCATGAAGGGCCTGCTATGTAACTTTTATAATTTGAACTTCAGTTTAAAAAGAATGAGGAGTCTTTACTAAATTTTAAGGGGCCAGAGTGAGGCAATCGTTCAGGTTGGCATTTTAGAAAAATAATTCTGCAATGTGGCCAGTGGAATGGAGCAGGGTCAGGCAAGACTGGTGATGGAAAGAGTTGTTAGGAGATTATTACAATCGTCCGAGAGAACCAGTGCAGGCTAAGCCAAGGAAATGGCAGGGATGATCGATAAGAAAGGATGTAAAAGAGGTGGAATTAATTGGATTTTATCCCTCTACATGGGGAAGTGAGGGAAAGGGAAAAGCAATTAAAACTAACTCCTGGGTTGCTTTTTTGGTGCCATTCACAGAGTTAGGGGTCTCAGGAAGAGAAATGTGTTTTGGGGTAGGGACAGGAGAGAGACTTGAGTCTGAGACATGTTTAGGTTTGGGATTTGCAAGTAGAAATGCCCCCTTGGCAGGTGCATCTGTGTATCTGGGCCTGGCACAGTCGCCTGGGGTGGAGGTGGAGATATGTGATCTATGGGCATATGATGATAGTTGGAGCTATCAGTTTAGCTGCATTCATCTAGGGGAAGGTACGCAGGGTAAAGACTGTAGAGGGCTGAAAACGAGTCCCTTGGCGTACAAATATTTAGTGACAGTGGAAGGAAGGGAAGCGTGAAGAAGACCAAAAAAGAGCTATCAACCTAACTGTATTTGTGAGAGGGGATAGTTGCAGCATGGTCTGGGGCTGGAGGGAGTTTTGTTGGTTTGTTGGACCGTTTGTTTAAAGGAAAGAATGGAATATATTCATAGAGGAGAAAGAGCCTTTGGAGAGATTACTGGTACAAGAGAGATGGCATGATTTCTAAGTGACATCTTTGAGGAGACAGAGTGACGGGATAGGGTATATCCAAGACGCGAGGAGATGGATTAGTAACACCTGCCGCCTGACCAGGGGAAGGCACCCTTTT
Source organism: Homo sapiens (assembly GCF_000001405.40). Classification (NCBI taxonomy): domain Eukaryota; kingdom Metazoa; phylum Chordata; class Mammalia; order Primates; family Hominidae; genus Homo; species Homo sapiens. The sequence goes on from NC_000006.12 coordinate 5,387,333, forward strand.
CCTGTTGTTACAAAGGTAGGAATGAAGGATTGAAGCATGGCTGCAGAAAAGGCACAGATGTTTATGAATGGGAATACAGGGCTTAGACATTAGGGAGCTTCTTCTCTGTTGGCTTCTCTGTTCTCAGTAAAGAAGAGGACAAAGCCAGTTTTTTCCCCAGTTGAAAGTAGCGTGGGAGGGATAGACATTTTAACAAGTGAGATACATGATTAGCATAGTCTCTGAAGTTAATTGGAGAGAACAGCTAATACTTTCTTCTCCAAAATTTGGTTCTTGACTCGGCATGTGCTTATAGAGGCAGTCTACATTGATCAAGTAATTAGGAAGAATAGCGTGAAGCATCTGCTATGTTCAGGACACTGTGATGGGGGTCTCTGCTCCAGAGGTCGTGATGTTATCCTTCTAGAGCTCTTTCCTCATTCTTTCATGTTGGTTACAAATCATGGTTGCTTGTCTTCTCTCACGATAAGAGACTGAAGTGTTGTTCCTGGAGCTGCAATCTGTCTATAGCATGCTGAACTCATTCAGAGGAGTATATTGTCTCTATATTAAATTTTGCAATAAATGTTTAATTTCAGAATAGTTCTAGGTTTACAGAAAAATTGCAAAGAAAGTACAGAAAGTTCCTGTATAATCCATATTCAGTTTATCCTATTATTATCATCTTATATTAGCATGGTACATTTGTCACAATTGGTGAACCAATTTTTTTTTTACATTATTACCTGTATTCATTTTTGTTCTTTTGTTTCTAAACTCTCTTGCTATGACCTTTTCAGTTATCTTTGACAGTGGGAGAAGCACTTATCTACTAATGCTTCAGAAACCTGAGATGAACCAATAATTTGAAGCATCCCCTTTCTTGTGTCTTTGGGATTATCTTATCTTAAACCCTATGTCTTCTTATTTCAAAAATCATACACTTGGCAGGGGGGAAATGGTTGCAGAGAAAAAGTAAATATCAACTGGGATTTTATCAAGTTCATATGACCCTACTGTGAGTTATATGTGTGTTTAATTTAAAAAGTATTATTATTTATTAAATGCAATTTGACACAAATCTTTTTTAAAATGGGGTTCATCGGGGATTAATAATGAAGAATGTTTTTTGGTGACAAGATCGTGTACCATCGCCAGTAATAAAATAGTTCTCTATGTCTTTGCCTCTAGATGGCACTGATTTTATATTTGCCCATGATTTTTAAGCTATTGAGTTTGGAATAAAAAAGCCTGTTCTTTTCTGGCTAACACTGTGTCTGTGCTCATTTGTGCACTCTGTTTTTACTTCACTCTCAGCAAAACACAGAATTAAGACCCTGTTTTAGTTCCTGTAAGAGTCCAGCCATTACAAAATCATTCATGAGTGATCTAGTATTTGCTGATGAATTCATAAGGAAGAGAGCATTTGTATCATGTAACCTATATGGAATCATTCTGAAAAATATTTAATGGATCTGTATTTTCTCCAAGTGCCTTTTTCTGTTGTCGGTGGGCAGTTGTCCTGAGCTATTCCTCCAGGTGGAACTTTGCTCTCTGGTATCTGCTTCTCAAAGCCAGGATATTTCAAAATCCTTTTAAAAAATCCCTTTTGTCATACTTGTCCTACAGAATTATTTAGCAGGTATCTTGTATTCCATGGGCCCCTTTGGGTTTTCAGTTCTCCGTCATATCTGTTTATTGTTGCCCTCCCCTCACATCCACAGATGTCAAAGAATCTCTTTACTTTTTACTCAGAGAGTAAGATTTTTCCTTCCTAATTAAGCTGCTAAACTTTTCTGTCAGATCCTTTCTAATAGAATCATACAGCTAAATGAAACAGTTAAAAAATATCGGCTTGCAGAAATATTTTATGGCTTTGGACATAGCGTCATTCTTGGACAATGCAAAAATGCCTTGTAGTTTGAAAATGTTACATCAGTTGACCACTGTGTTAGGCGAGTACTATTGTTGAGTTCTCCAAGCTGCTACTGTTCCTCCTCCCCTCCCTTGCCATCTTCTCTCTTGTGTCCTGTCTCTCTCTCTCTCCTCTTTATTAAGATGCTGGTTGGCACAGCCTGGACTCTTAGTTATGACCTCCTTTCTTTCATGTACTCAATCTGTCTACTGAAACGATTTTGTTTGGCTGCATTACCTAGCAAGATTTTTCTATTAGCATTCTCTTGGGTCATCTCTTCACTGCTCAAGTCACTTGTACTTGCGTTTGGTATTGTGCAGAGCAAGAATGTCCTGTGGTGTATCCCATCAGACTTTACCTTTTTGGTCTATTACCTCAGGCAAAGATTGACTTATGAAGCTAGAATTAGTGAAATTGGTGATACGGTAGTGGCTAACTGACTTACCACCTGCTTGAAAATTTCAAATGCAGTTGAAGTGACATTATTATATTTGTCTTAATGTTACAATGGAAAAATGCCTGTAGTTTGAAAATGTTACATCTGTTTCTGATTTTCCTCTCTGAAACAAAGCTTTCTGAATTCTGCTCCTACTACAGTTTTTTTGTTTTTGTCGTTGTTGTTGTTATTGTTGTTTTTGTTTGTTTGTTTTTTTCCTGAGAGAGGGTGTCTCTCTGTCACCCAAGCTGGAATGCAGTAGCATGATCTCAGCTCACCGCAACCTCTGCCTCCTGGGTTCAAGCAATCCTCTTGCCTCAGCCCTCCGAGTAGCTAGGATTACAGGCACGCGCCACCACGCCAGGCTAATTTTATATTTTTAGTGGAGATGGGGTTTCACCATGTTGGCCAGGCTGGTCTTGAACTCCTGGCCTCAAGTGATCCACCCATGTCGGCCTCCCAAAGTGCTGGGATTACAGGCATGAGCCACTGCACCCAGCCTCTACTACAGTTTTTTTGTTCCAGTACTTACCTTGCTTGTTTAGGTTATTCAGAAAGTGAGTACTATTGCTTTCTTTCCCTGTGAGGTAAGGCCAGTTTCCAAGCCCATGCTTGGCCCCAGACACCTCAGGCAGGAACAGTAGGTATAATTATTTCATCAGCGTTAGGATTAAGTTAGAAAGCAATGAGTATGTATTCTTTTGCATCGCACATGCTAAAAATATCCTTACTCAGCACCCTTGATGGATCCTGCCTTTTATGAGTCCCCAGGTAACCACAGGGACTGCTCAAGTTCTACTGTTACTTCAAGGATTATTTTGATTGTTTTCTATGACACATCATCTTTCAGAATTTTATAAACCGAACAACAGTATCACAAACCAGTGTCTTTTCTGTGTGAAGGCTTTCTTGTGAACAGCTCCTGGGTTTGAGCAATATTTCTTTCCCTTACAGTGTATATAAGGAACATTTATTTGGTCAGTTCTCAAACATATTATGCCTACATTTCTTCTGCTGTTTTTCTTTGGTTCTCTTCTATTCCCTTAGTTTAAGAGGAAAGGGGCTGAGATAACCAGTGTCAAGCCCGGGTGTCCTAATAGCTGCCCCAGGTATGGCCCCTTTCCCGTACTCCATGTTGCCTTTGGGAGTTCACATGGCCTCTAACCACACAGTGCCTTCTTATGAATAATGTGGAACATGATCATAGCTTACATGTTTTTCAAAGCAGTCCTCCTGGAATAACCCAAGAAACTGTTCACATTGATGCAATTGCACATATGCTAAGTGCATTTTAAAGGCAGACCTGAATTTATCACTTTTTGAGAAATGTATTAGTCCTTGTTCAATAGGAATGATATAACTAGGGTAAACCGTCATTATTTTATTCAGGGTGCCTAAAGCAGTAGAAGTGTGTGGAGCTATTGCAGCTCAGCTCTGTTCATGAGTGTTTTATGTCCAGTTCTAAATCCTATTCATCTGACCCTATTGCCCCTTTTAATACTGAAGCTGAAGAGAGTGATAGTATATATTCCATCACGGAAATAACCACAGAGCCTGGAAGATGGGGTCATGACTTGGAGATTTTGGGTTGAATTCAGGCTCCACCATTTACTATGTCATGGTACATGTTATTGAACCTCACTAAGCCTCAGGGTTCTTAGTTGAGAAATGGGGAAATAATAAGGATTGTGAAGATTAAAGAAAACCATATAGTATGTAAGATAAGCACTCAGCAAGGTAGCAAAGGTACTAAACGGTGTGTAACTATTAACCGTTAGTACTGCAAGTGGCAGTGAAGTGTGTTATAGGATCATGTTATCAGTCACAGGAACTCAGAGTCAGGATAGATAAGTGTTTAGCATTAATTTGTAAGGCAGATTGTATAGATGAAACTGGTGGTCAATAGTTATTTTTTTTTTAATGGCTGGTATAAAAATGACTACTTTGGGAGCCACAGACCAGTCCTCAATATCTCCTTGAAAATCTACTATCATCCAAGCCTCATTTTCACTTTGCCACTTGTAGGATTTTGCAAAGAAGCAAATTCTTCTTCTGTCCGTTTTCTTTTTTCTGTGCCCTTTAAATGTGTGTTTAAAATCTAGACCTTTTGGGAAAATCTTGTTGGCTTTCTAAATTTTAAATTTAATTGGCTTTTGCAATCTACTTTTATTCTTAAATCTGATTAGAAGTAATTCCTTGCTCAGTAATTCCTCAGTAGTTCTGAACTACTTTCTGTGGCTTTTGTAAGCAGTTGTAGTTGGGGTTGAATTTGTATTCTGGGTCATTTGGATTTGCACAAGGACAGTTAGGAAAATGTCAGAGAAATAGAAGCAGTCCTAGTGGAAAATAAATTATACAAACTGTTGGGTGCGATTAATGGAAATTAATTTAATTTCAATACTGTGGTATCTCCCAAACATAAAGGTAAGTGAGAGGCAGATACTTAGAGGTCCCTGGAATCAAGGGTGAGATTGGTCCTGGACTGATGTCTAATTGGCTGAGTGATCTTACCCTCTCTGGGTCTTTACCTTTCTGAGTTTCCTATCCTTATATGGCATTGGTTAATGGACTACAGTCTCTTCCAGCTCCAGTGTTATATTTCCATTAGAAATAATCTCTGCCTTTGATTAGTCTTGTTCTTCTGTGTTGTGTTGTGCACATGGCCTTATGAACTGCTGCTTTTCCTTATTTCAGGGTTTTGAAAACTTTACTGTGTTTTACAGTTATATTTTGGTCATACCCATATAGTGCATGTATGATTAGATCTTAATAATTTTCTAAAAATAGCCTTAAAGTGACTGACCTCTTTTGCTTAGCGCTATTCTAAGCTATAGTACCTGTGAAATCATGGGTTTGATAGGAGAGTTATATATTTTTCTATACACATTGAAAGTATTATGTAGTTATTAAAATGAAGTACTTAGCCCACCTGCTCTCTCAGCTACTCAGGAGGCTTAAGTGGGAGGATTGCTTGAGCCTAGGATGACCAGAATGACCACATTGGACTGAAGCTTAAGCTTTAAGACCAGCTTGAGCAACATAGCAAAACACTTGCTCTAAAATATATATATATACACACACACACACACACACACACACACACACACATGTATATATATGTGTGTATATATACATATATGTATGTGTATATATTATATATGTATATATACATATATGTGTGTATATATTATATGTGTGTGTATATATTATATATATGTATATATACATATATGTGTGTATATATTATATATATGTATATATACATATATGTGTGTGTGTATATATATATACACATAAAATATATTGATTTTAAATATCTGAAAATATTTTTAAAATTTATTAAAATATATGTAAAATAAGTTTTCACAATGGAATGTGTGCTGCATTTTGGGAATTATCAGTGGGTTTTTGATTTATTGCTTCAACCATTCCCTAATATGTCCCTAATATTTTTCATATGTACCTACATGGATATACTAGTATTTCTGATTGATCTATTGAAACTAGCTTGGTCGCAATAAATAATTGAATCCTGTAATGCACAGGTAGACTCTCAGGATTATTATAGGCTAACCATGGAATCCTGGAAAAGATACTCCCACAGATTTGGATTCCATGTGTGTAAAGGAGTGGTGGTTATGGTGTCAGTGGCAGCAGTGGAGGGTCTGGGAGTGACGATGCAGTGGCTCATGTAGAAGATGACAAGTGCTTTGGCCGGGCATGGTGGCTAACGCCTGTAATCCCAGCTCTTTGGGAGGCTGAGGTGGGCGGATCGCGAGGTCAAGAGATCGAGACCATCCTGGCCAACATGGTGAAACCCCGTCTCTACTAAAAATACAAAAAAAATTAGCTGGGCATGGTGGTGCGTGCCTGTAGTCCCAGCTACTTGGGAGGCTGAGGCAGGAGAATCACTTGAACCCGGAGGCGGAGGTTGCAGTGAGCTGAGATCTTGCCATTGCACTCCAGCCTGGTGACAGACCGAGACTCCACCTAAAAAAAAGGCAAGAAGATGACAAGTACTTTTAAAATTATAATACAGTTTACCAGTGTGAGGTATAATTAGTATTATCACGCAAACGTGTTGTTTGGAGAAAGGCACCCTTTTCCTCTTTGACCGTGGGTATTAGAGCTGTCCTCCTTGCGTGAGGATGGAGAACTGCTGAGATGCTCATTGGTCATCTCCTCTGTGATGTTTGTTTAGTATGTGGATGGAAGGGGCAGAGTGAGTGAGACATCTCGAGCATCCTGCTATGCATTTAGACTGAAAATGTGTTGGCTTTGGTTTTTATTGCCAGGAATGGTCATGGCCACATTGGACCGAAGCTTAAGGCTCTGACTTCCTAAATGATCAAGTATTTCTCCTTGGCTTGAGTAGAAATTTGAAAGAAGAGTTTATTTTCCTCTGGTAACTACATAATGACATTACTGTCAAAGAGGGGACTATTTAAGCTTCAGAATGAGGAGGAGCATAAAGCTGAAATAAATGTATGTGTGTATATGTACATACACGCACACAGTCCTGCACCGCAAAACATTTCAGTTTTAGTATATATGCTGCTGAGGTGAGCACGAGCAGAAAACATTTCAGTTAATGGCAGACCTCATATATGACAATGGTCCCACAAGATTATAATGCAGCTGAAAAATTCCTATCACCTAGTGATTTGTGTTACAGTTGCCTACAGTATTCAGTATGGTAACATGCTGTTATAGATTTGTAGACTAGGCACAATAGGCTATACTTCATAGCCTAGGTGTGCATAGTGGGCTATACCATCTAGGTTTGCGTGACTACACTCCATGGTGTTCGCACAATGACAAAATTGCGTAATGAAGCATTTTTCAGAGTGTATCCTCTTCCTTAAGTGACACATGCTTGTGTGTGTACATATATGTACATATAAAAATTACAGTAAAACTATGAAGGTTTTATTACTCAGGTTTTATAATCTAAGTACCTAATTAGAAAATGTCGAACTGGGTGATATCTTATGGAAACTCTGCTGTTTTTCTTGTACCTTCTGTAAGTGACATGGAGTAGGGGCTGTTTGTTTTCTCTTTCAAGTGTCACTTTGAAACATCTGTGTTGTTAGTAAGGGACAGTGTTTTTTTTTAAAAAAAAAGCATTTGGTGTCCTTAAATAACTGCAATATAAAAAGATTTTTTTTCTTGATGCTCGTTAACTTTTGACGTCACACTCATTTTGCCATTCGAAGTGGTACAGAAACCATATTCCATTGTCTAAAAAAGGATGATCTGCGTCTTTTGTAGGAGAGTAGGACTGTCACCTTGTAGGCCTCTCTCTTTTTTTTGCCGTTTCTTAGTTTAGCCAGGCTTATTCTGCAAGGCCCTGCTCTAGTTCTCTTTTCTAGCTGAATGACCGTCAACATTGTGCTGATTGGTTTTGAGACAGAGTCTCGCTCTGTCACCCAGGCTGGAGTGCAATGGTGTGATCTTGGCTCGCTTCAACCTCTGCCTCATAGGTTCAAGCGATTCTCCTGCCTCAGCCTTCTGAGTAGCTGGGATTACAGGCATGCACCACCACACTGGGCTAATTTTTGTATTTTTAGTAGAGACAGAGTCTCACCATGTTGGCCAGGCTGGTCTTGAGCTCCTGACCTCAAGGAATCCACCTGCCTCGGCCTCTGAAAGTGCTGGGACTACAGGTGTGAGCCACTGTGCCTGGCCACTGATTGGTTTTTAATATATAATTGCAAGTAAATACTTCCTTTTATTACCAAACTAGATCAGGTAACAGAATTTTCACTTTTCCTGGACTATAAAAGATATTCTTTGGAACCTGGGGTCTTTCTGGCCCTGATCAGTTATTTATATTTTTGTTTAGTAGGGATGACACTCTCTACCTGGAGCCACATTTTGACCAAGAACACCTCATTTTTCTCTGTACCATTACTAGTGAAATATTCCCCTCCATTTCATCTTATTAGTTCTCCTCTCCTTATTCTCCACTAATTAACGTGTTCTGGGAGTAGTTTCCATCTTTGGAAAAAACAGCTTTATCTTCATTTGTAGGAATATCAAAACACTGTGTGCTTATAATAATTTTGGGGTTGGCCACTGTATTTCTAGCATTAGGAGAGACTGATGTTTGAATCCTTTCCTATTCCTCTTTTTATCCTTGTAGTAACATTTGTTGTTTTCTCTGCAACTTCAAATGTAACCTTGCTTATTGAGGAAATGTATAAAATATCTAAAAGCACTGAGAAGAAAAAAATTATGGGCAATCTGACCACCTAGTGGTGATAAATGTTTTTAATGTTATGGTTTTGTTTTAAATCTTGAATTTTAATGTTAATGTCATAGCCCACTGACATTCTAGTATTCTATTAGGATAACTCTATTTCATATATAACTATTCTTTAAAGAAAATTGTTATTGCTTGCTAATTTAATCTGTTGTATTTACTAAATTCATTGTTCTTAAAGAATAATGTTCATGAAACCTGGAATTCATATAAACTGCTTCCCAAGAGCTCCATGTTGCATGTATATTATGTTTAAAAGGTACTGAGAGATTTTTAAAAATAGATTCTAGTAATTAAAGGCTATTTTTATCTTTCAGTTAATTTCCTCAGGGGAAATAAATTCCAGTGATGCTAAAGTTGCTCAAATATTGTTAGAGTTGTGTTTAATTTCACCGTTATATATTGTCATTGGTCCTCAGCCTTCATCCCTTCAGAGATTTGTTTTTTGCATAATCATTTGTAAAAAATCATTTGGCTACAAGGCTGGAATTTGGGGTTGTCAAGCGGAGTAATAATACTGTTTTGATTAAGAACAAGGTATAAAAGTATGAGGATTTTTCACCCCCTGGGAGATTTATAATTTGATTCTGAAAGCAGTTTATGAAATCAAGTTCCGGAAACTTCCACTTCTTTCACAGACTAGATATGCTGGCTAAAAAAACCCCAACTAGACTCCACATAAAATAATTTTGTTACAATTTTTAGGCTCACCGAAAGTGACAGAACTTCCCAAGGGAGAGGGGAGAAAATGGAAGGAACTGAGCGCCAGGAGCAGTGAGCTGACATGAAGCGTGTGGAGGTGCTACAGCTGCTGTCAGCAGCAGGGCAGCTGAGCGATCAGGCCTCTTGGTAGTAGTGGCAAGATGGGGAAGTCAAACCTGGGCCCCTCACCTTCACCTCTTCAAGAGCGGTAAATTGGTTCCAGGGCTGTTGCTGCCCTGGTTACACACAGTCTTTGAAGGCAAGTGTCCCCTACCTAGGCCCTCACGTTTCCCCCTGATTTGATATCATCCAGCCTAAGATCACCACACACAAACCATCCTGTGTGAAAATCAGCAGAAATCACACCCAGTTGCTTCAGCTATTTGAATTCCTTGGCGCAAAGTATAAAATAACTGTATGAAATCTTTAAAGAAGTAGAAAATACAATCTCAAATACGTATAAGTAATAAAAATGGTTTTTAACAAAAGATCATACATGAGTTATTAATCAATGAGAAGACATGGGGGAAATGTACATGCATATTACTCATGAAGGAAGACAAGCTGAAAAGGCTCCATACTCTATGTTTCCCTCTATATGATATTCTGGAAAACACAAAGCTAGGGAAACAGTGAAAAGAGCAGTGATGATCAGGGGCCAGTGCGGAGACAGTGATGAATTGGCTGAGCGTAGAAGATTTTTAGGGCACTGAAAACACTGTGTGATACTATAATGGTGGATGTATGTTCGACATTTGTTTAAACCCATAGAATGTACAACTCCAAGAGTGAGCCCTAAGGTAAACTAAGGACTTTGGGTGATTATAATGTGTCAGTGTAAGTCCATCTAGTGTAACAAGTGTACCACTCTGGTGGAGGATGCTGATAGTGGAGGAGGCTGTGCATGTGTGGAGGAGGAATTATATGGGATATCTCTGTATCTTCCTCTCAGTTTTGCTGTGAACCTAAAACGATGCTTAAAAAAGTCTTTATTTAAAAAAAGAGACTATGCCGAATTGAGAAAGAACTAAATAGAACATGTAAAATTGAAAAATGTGTTTGCTTGAATTTAAAAACATGTCCTTTTTCTGGACTAGAATTCAATCTAGGATTACATGTTATATTTTTCACGTGTCCATCTCCTTTATTAAATTGGGATAGTTACTCAGTCTTCCTTTGTTTATTATGACTTTGATGTATTTGAAAGGTACTGGCCATATATTGTTACTCAGTCTTTCTTTATCATGACTTTGATATGTTTGAAAGGTACTGGCCATATATTTTGTGTCATGTTTCTCAACTTGACATGATTTTGTATTTTCTCATGGTGAAATTCATATTCTACATTTTTGACAAAAATGCCATGGAGATTTTGTTGTGCCCTTAGTGAGTTCTATCATGAAGAACGTGGTGGTGATATGTTAACTCTGATCACTCGGTAAATGTGGCATCCATTAGGATTCTCCGCCATTATTATTTTCCCCTTTGTAGTTAATAGTGTTTGCAGGAAGATACTTTGAGACTGTGTAAATAGTTCTCATAATATTTTGCCCTATTAACTTTGGATTCCCTTGATAATTTTTGCCAGAAATTATTGTGGTGTTTGTCAAATGGTTATTTTCTTTCTAATTTATTCTAAAGGTATTAATTAGAATTTTACTGTAAGGAAGACCTTTACCTTCTCTCCCATATATTTATTTAATTATTTATATCAGTATGGCTTCATGAATATTTGGTTATTGTATGGGTTATAACCTATTACTAAAATGATTTATTTTATTGCTGAAATTTACCCAGGTTTGGTCTTTGGGAGCCCCTTAAGTAGTTTTCTGTGTCCTCTGACATGTTATCATTTTTTGTCCCCATGAGATATCCCAGATTCATCTTTTACTTTCTCCACCCCAGCCCTGGAATCAGTCATTTCTTTAAGAAACTCTGTTCCTTTTTTATTAAAGAATGGTATTTAGAAGCCTAGACCTGAGTATACTTATTGCCCTAGGGATATCATTACTTGTAGGCCCCCTCTAGTGACAGAGCTAGGAAATACATATACCTACTTCTATTTCCGTATTGATGTATCTGCATATATGTTACAAAATATGAATTCATATGAGTACCTCCAATCTAAGCCAACACCACATGGCTCATTCTAGCCCTCCCCATTGCCTTTGATAGTGACAGTGAGAAACCTGGTTCTTCTTACTCATGACATATTTATTTTCTTGTTCAGTCCTGGAATGAACATAAAGGTAGTTTCATAATTGTTAACACATACCTCTGTGGAAAAAATTTGCTAACTAGTGTACAATATTTGCTATGTTTATTTTGTTTTTCATCTTATTTAGTTAAAATACTGTTTTTGAAAGTTATTTTGGTTAATTCTTTTCTTCTCCACTCTCTTTAAGTGGCTGTCATTTATTTAGAATAAACTTCTGTCCATCATTACTGTTTGTATTCCATTTGTGTTCTTCCCACCTCTGGGTAGATTTTATATTATTTTATTATTATTATTATTATTATTATTATTATTATTATTATTATTATTATCATCATCATCATCATCGAGACGGAGTCTCCTTTTGTTGCCCAGGCTAGAGTACAGTGGCATGATGTAGGCGCACTGCAATTCCTGCCTCCCGGGTTCAAGTGATTCTCTTGTCTCAGCCTCCCAAGTAGCTGGGATCACAGACGTGTGCCACCACGCCTGGCTAATTTTTGTATTTTTTGGTAGAGATGGTGTTTCACCATGTTGGCCAGGCTGGTCTTGAACTCCTGACCTCAAGTGATCCTCCTGCCTTGGCCTCCCAAAGTGCTGGGATTGCAGGTGTCAGGATTTTATTTTTAATGTTTTGCGTAGATAAAGTATTAACGTCCTTCTAAAACTCAGAACTATACAACAAGGTTTACTTAGAGGTCATGACCCCCACTCTGCCATTCATTATACTCTATTCCCATTCAACCATTTTTTCCATCCTGTTTCCACCACCTCTGTGTAGGTGATTTATTTTTGTTATTTCTAGCCTATCCTTCCTTTTTTTCACAAATGAGATGATTCATGTGTATTTTATTATTTCTTACATGAAAGGTAGCAAGTAATATATGCCCTCTTGCACTTTGCCTTTTTTATTTATCAGGATGTCTTGAAAATCATTCCATATCAGTCCAGAGAGATCTTCCTCGTTCTTTATTACACCTGCAAAAGTACTCTATTGTATAGGTAGACCATAGTTTATTTAACATCTTTCCAATGTGAGACTTTTTAAAAAAATATGGTGCAGTTACAAACAATACTACAATGAAAATTTTGTGCATGTGTATTAATGTTGGAAGTATATTTTCAGGGTAAGTAGTTAGAAATGGAAGGACTGGGTCAAGAGATCAACAAATATGTAGTTTTGTTGGGTGTTGTCAAATTCATCTCCAAAAGGGTTCTACCAGTTTCCATTTTCACCAGCAAAGTATGACTGTACTTATTTTCCAAAGCCTCAGCGTATTCAAAAGAATATGTTGTCTGACTTTTAACTTTTTGCCATTGTGATAGAAGTATTATGTCAGTGTTATTTTAATTTGCTTAATTTGCTCTTTAAGTTTGAATTCCTTTTCATGTGTTCAGGGGTCATTTTCATATCTTTTTTTTGATGAATTGTCTGTTCTTTTTCTATGGAGTTTTTGGCCCTTTGTCAACTTTTAAAAGTTTCTTTACGTTAGTGGTATTACCTCTTTGTGGTGTATGTTTCCTGACTTTTGTTCCCCTTCTTTTTTTGTCAGTTTTCAGGTGGAAAGACCTTTATGTGTGTGTGTGTTTGTATGTTGTTAATGGGAATGATTTTTAGTTTTATTGTATTTTAATCAGAGAGTATAGTTTATTATTTCTTCTTTATGGAATATACTTATTTCTTTGTGACTTACTATGTGATCAATTTTTGTTAATATTCTCTGGGCCCTTGAAAATAAAATGTATTTTTCATTATGAAGGGAGTAAGTTTAATATGTGTGTATGTGTGTGTGTGTGTGTAAAATATACGTATACATATTTATGTATACACACATGATTTCATTTCCTAATTATGTTTTTAGGTCTTTTATCTTATTAATTTTGCACATTTGATCTTATACTAAGAATGATGTATTAAAGTTTCCTATTATCATTAATATTAATGTGTTTCTATGTGTGTCTTTTGCGTCCCCTATGGTTCTTTCTACACAGAGGTAATAATTGTCTTATTGATATATAGATATTCATAAGTGTTATACCTTCACTGTGATTTGAAACTTTTAGCATTAATACAAGATCTTCTTTGTCTTGCTCGGTGTTTTTTTGCTTGAATTCTACTTTTTCTGATTTTAAGAATGCTATGCTTGCTTTTTTATTGTATCCATTTGCCTGTTATATTCTGTCCATCCATTTGTTTTTAACATTGTTTTAGGTGTATCTTTTGTATAGTTGAGTCATGCTTTGTGGCCAGATTTATTTTTTTAAGAGGTGAATTAAGCCTGTTCATATTTATTGATATTACTTTCACATTTATTGAGTTATTGATATATTCGATCTGAACTTTATCATAATATATTGTGGTGTTATATATGTCATAACATGTTACATTTTATTTCTCTACAATATATGTTTTATTATGCTTTTGAATTGAAATTTTGGTTGCTCTTTAGAAAGGTTATATTTTTGTTTTAATGGTTGCTTTTATACTTAAAACTTTTAAAGTCCCTTATCCCTCATTTTTAACTTTGTTCTTAGTAAAAGTATTCTTTAACTATTGCCTATGCAATAATCAGTATATTCTACTTTCCTCTTTGCTGCTTTCTTCCATTGTTTAGTTACGTTATTTCTACTTTGTCAGAACATATAACAATTGGATATTAGTCTTTCAATGTAATCCCCAGCTTTTAGTCTGAAATCTGTAATTTTTATGTATTAACATGTTCTCCATTTGTTTTGTGCTGAAATTTTCCTAGTTATTTATTACTTGAACAAGGCTCATGCTTTGGTAAATTCTTCAGAAAGAGCTCATTAATGTGACATTCCTATGCTCTTGTGTGTTTCACGTTTTTTCTGTAGACTTGGTGCTTTAAGGACAGCATTGATGGATATAAACTTCTTGACCCACATTTTTAAAAACTGAGTTGTTTGAAAATGTGGCTTCATTGTTGTCTTGTTTCCGTGTTGTTTTTGAAGAATCTGATGCCACTCTGATTGCTTTACTCCTCTACATTAGTTGATCTTTTTGCCTAGAGGCCTTGACGATTTTCCCCATTATTTATGAAATCTGTTTTATAAGAATATGTCCTATATTTGATTTTTCCAGGTTCTTTTTCACAGGTACCCATTTTATCTGGTATTAGTTCTGCTCCATTGTTTTTTTTTCCCTCTTTAACGGACTCCAATTATATAAATGTAATTCCTTCTTTGCCTGTGTTCCATTTCTACCACTTTCTTTCTGATTCTTCTTTCTTTATTTTACCATCCTCCTTCTGGTTGTTTTTCTCCTTTTCTTCAATGCCCCCTCATTAAATCTTGATTGATTCCATTGTCCCTTGCATGCTTTGGAATTTAGATTTTGTTTCTGAGATGATTTTATTTCTTTTTTTTTTCTGAGTTAAATCAATTCTCTTTTCATTTTTTCTCTATTTTTGTTCTTAATTTTTGAGTTTCTGACTAAAGCAATTTATATCCTTAAATGCTTGATTGAGCATATGTAACTTAGTTTTTAAGTATTAGTTTGTGTTTCTTTTTAGTGCTCCTTAGTTTTGGGGGGTGGGTGGGAGAAAAGTTGGATTTTCATTAGTTGAGCTCTTTTGAATTGACTTTCTGATTTTTGAGTAATAATTTTCTATATTTTTATTGAATTTATTTGTCGTTCCTTTTTGGTTGTGTAAAAGACTTCCTTAGTCTCTGGTGCCCTCTTCTGTTAGTGTAGCAATGCACACTTTAGTGGTTTATTTATTTATTTTTGGTGTGGGTTAGAGAATGGTTTTGTAAATCCTCTAATTTTTTAGCTGTGCTTTATCTTTCACAACCTTGAATTTTCTCATTTGCATCTTTTTTCTCTTCCTACTCAATTGAAAAGGTTGTCTTTCGCTTTGTATTAACTCCTTTTTCTTTTATTGTAACTATGGTTTTGGGATCCTCTCACTTCAAATTGGGCATGCTTTTACACCACTTTTCTGTGGTCCCTGCTCAGGCCTACTAGGACACTTTTTAAAGGCTTTTCACACTTAGTGTAACTTACACTTTCTGGGTTTCTAAGGTCAACCTTAGCACCTCACTCATTCTCCTCTCTTTCTCTTATTTTTTCCAGCTTGCTCTTGCTTACTTCAAAGCCTTATCAGTGGGGTAGGAGTATAACAGTTCTGTCCCTAGGTTTTGACTGGCATTCCTTCCTGCCTGCCTGCCTGCCTGCCAAAGGCATTGTGTTCAATAGTTTTATTTGTTCTTGTTGCTCTAAATTATTTTTAGAGGAAGCATTGACAGCCGTCATTGTCTTTAGTCCTCATAAGAATAATTTGAGGCCTAGGATATTAGAATATTTCTCTGAAAACGGTTTTGTCTCATTTTGCTGGCCAGTTAGAGGAAGTATGTCTGGGATTGCCTTAGATCATCTTCGTAGCCTGAAGCTCTCTCTATTGTTCAGAAAATGTGATACCTGACTGCAAGTCTACACAAGGACTGGTTTACTTTTGTGCTCATCCTCATCAGGGGGATGAGTCTTTTAGGGACTCAAACACCCCAGCTTGGTTCCACAGCAAAGCTTTCCCTTTTGTCTCACTTCCATGGTAAGCTGTTACAACCCATGTTCAGGTTTTCAGTTGATAGGTTAGATAGGCAGATACTCTCAATGCTTCTCTCTGGCTTTGTGCTTACTTTATTTTTTATTTTTATTTTTTAATTTTTTACCCCTGGCTTCATGCTTCCTGTAGAGTTCAGTCACTCCTCTCTATCTCGGTTTTACTTCTTCAATGCTGTTAAGAATTTCTGTATTTTTTTCAGTAGCATTTATCAGGAAGTTTGGTTCTAATTATCAAAACCAACATTACTAGAAATGGCAGCTGACTCATTCTTTTATTAAAACATTTTTTATGTTTGATTATGGGACTTTGGGTGGGAAGAATGATACATTCATTTGCTCAGTTATCCCTTTTGAGCCAATCTTCTACCAAGTAAAGACCTGCTGTGTCACTGACCAGAAAGTTACTTTATTTCAGTGGTAAAGCAGCTTATGACTAATGATAGCTGTGGTTAATAATCATGAAGACAATAATGAGGAAAACTTATTTAGCCATTGGAATGTGCCAGATACTCTGTATTTTTTATATATTATTTTGTTTGTAATAAAATCTACTAATTTACTATTATTATTCCCACTTTATAGATGATTCCCTGAGGCTTAGCTACTGTATCACTTGCCTAAGTTTACACAGATAGTAAGCGGCAGAAACATGTTTGAGGCTCTGCCTTGAGCCTTGGAGATACAGGACTAGCAAATTCCAGCTTGCTTCCTACCTTCATGGACCTTACAGGATTTAATTCCTCGACACTGTGGGATGGTCAGGGATGTAATTTTAGAATATGAAAGCGATTCACTAGTATTTCCACTAGAATTGAGGATAATGTCTCTTGTTGGGAACTGACTATAAGTTCATGCAAATCAAAAACAGATTAGCAAAGATCAGAAGAGTGTCTTAATTCTCTAAAAACCCCCCATACCATGTAGCGTAGTGTTTTCTTCAGAGTTGTACTAAGTGAATGTTAATTTCATTACGTTTATTGACAGGACATAATGAGTCTTATTCCCACATTATAACTTTTTAGAGTCAAAAGATTCTTAGCAGAATTTTAAAGTTATCTGATATAGATGGGCCAGGATATTTTCTTTATTTATACTTTCCTGTTGGTTTACAGTTATTTGCTGGTATAAAGGATGGAGAAAGCCTGCAGCTCTTTGAACAAAGTTCTCGCTCTGCGCATAAACAAGAGACACACACCATGGAGGCCGTGAAGCTTGTAGAGTTTGATCTTAAGCAAACGCTTACCAGGCTCATGGCACATCTTTTTGGAGATGGTAAGTGCTCAAACACAGGTTGACGATCTCTTATCTGAAATACTTGGGACAGAAGTGTTTTGGATTTGGGTTTTTTTTTTTTTTTTCATATTTTGAAATTCTTTTTTTTTTTCCCCGAGACGGAGTCTTGCTCTGTCACCCAGGCTGGAGTATAGTGGTGCGATCTCGGCTCACTGCAACCTCCACCTCCCGGGTTCAAGGAATTCTCCTGCCTCAGCCTCTGAGTAGCTGGGATTATAGGCGCCCATCACCACACTTGGCTAATTTTTATATTTTTAGTAGAGACAGGGTTTTACCATGTTGGCCAAGCTATTCTCAAACCCCTGGCCTCGTGATCCGCCCACCTCGGCCTCCCAAAGTGTTGGGATTACAGGCATGAGCCACCGCGCCAGGCCTGAAATTCTTGCATATACATAATGAGATGTCTTGGGGATGGGAGCCAAGTCTAAACACGAAATTCATTTGTATTTCATATACACTTTACGCACATAGTCTGAAGGTAATTTGATATAATATTTTAAATAATTTCGTGCGTGAAACAAAGTTTTGACTGCGATTTGACTGAAAATCTTAATGAGTTCAGGTACGAAATGTTTCACTTGTGGCTGCAGATTGGCACTCAGAAACTTTTAGCTAGAGAAAGAAAAATGATTATAACGTTTGCTAAGAATGATAATGGATTAGGTCAGTCTCATCAATGGAGTGAAAATATACAGGCTGATTTGGAGTATATTATTATGTTATCATTACATGAGGACGTGATCAGTGGAGCAAGGTTCTTTTTTTTTTTTTTTTTTTTTTTTTGAGACGGAGTCTCGCTCTGTCTCCCAGGCTGGGGTGCAGTGCAGTGGGGTGATCTCAGCTCACTGCAAGCTCTGCCTCCTGGGTTCACGCCATTCTCCTGCCTCAGCCTCCTGAGTAGCTGGGATGACAGGCGCCCACCACCACGCCTGGTTAATTTTTTGTATTTTTAGTAGAGACAGGGTTTCACCGTGTTTGCCAAGATGGTCTCGATCTCCTGACCTTGTGATTCACCCGCCTCGGCCTCCCAAAGTGCTGGGATTACAGGCGTGATCCACGGCGCCCGGCCCAGTGGAGCAAGGTTCTTAACCATGTGAATGAACCAGTGGAAAACTTTACGTATTGCCATACTGATTACCACTATCAACAGGAGTATATTAACAGTATATTATATCAACAGCAAAAACATTAACAGTATATTTCGTGCAGGAGGAACAATAGTGTTGCAATCTAGACCTCACTTAGTCACTTGCCTTTATTTTTCAAAAAATATTTGTTTTCAGTAATGCCACCTTCCCCCTCCAGCTATTTTTAACTTAATTGAGATATATTTTGTTTTTTTAAATCACGATATAAAGAGAAGGTTAGTGGATTTTCCTAATTGTGACTATCTTTAAGAAATACTTACATTTCTTATCTGAGAAGACAGATGACCTACTGTGGTTAGGATTCTCCTTTACTCTCTTATTCTTGTGAGCTTTTGTAAAAGTCAGTGTTGTTGAGGTGTAATTAACATAAAGTAAGCTACACATATCTAAAGTGTACATTTTGATCAGTTGACATACAATGAACTGCACACGAACATACTCGCACAGTCTTACAAGTTTTGACGTCTTGCAAGTTCATGCCATGAAGCTACCAGCAGAATCAATACATGAACATCTTCATTGTCCCCAGGAGTTTCCTCCTGCTCACTGGCAATCCTTCCCTTCTGCCCTTACCACATCTCACCCCGGGCAACATGTGATCTGCTTTCTGGTGCCATTAATCAGTTTGCATTTTTTAGGTTTATATAAATGGAATCTTAGAATATGTGCTCTTTTTTGTCTGGCTTGTTTTACTTAAAATAATTATTTTGAAATTCATCCATATCATAGTGTATATGAGTAGTTGATTCCTTTTGTTAATCAGTATCCCATTCCACGATTTGTTTATCCATACATTCATTGATAGGTATCTGGGTAGTTTCCAGTTTTTTGCTATTATCAGTAAAGCGTCTATGAACATTCATGGATCAGTCTTTCTGGGTCGTACGTTTTCACTCCTCATAAACATAGGTATATGTTTAACTTAAAAAAAAAAACTGCTAAGCTATTATCTGAAGGGTTGCACCATCTCGATTCCCAACAGTAGTCTGAAAATGCCAGTTGCTGTACATCTTCAGCAACACTTGATAGGGTTAGTCATTTTAATTGTAGCCATTCTAACAGGAGTCCAGTGGTATGTCAAATACACATTTGGCATTTATAAAGGACTTCTCCATATAAACAAACAGAAATTGCAACTTAAGAGAAAAATGGGTGAACATGAAGGTGGCAAATTATATATATATATATATATATATAATGACCAATAAATATATGAAAAGATGCTTGTCTTTATTAGTAATCAGGGAAAAACAAAACCACAAAGAGCTTTTTCAAATGGGAAATAATTTTTTAAATCTAACATTTTAAATCGTTGACAAAGGTGTAGAGAAATAGAGTATAGCACAAAGTTCTGGCCTTACGCAGGATTCATGGTCACCGTTCTTCCAGCTGGGACTTCAGTACTCACTGTTCTTGATTCACCTCTATTTTTTCATACTCCAGATTTCCCCTACTTATGCCTGAACTCAAATATGTATTTAAAGAGAATCTTGTTGTAATTTATTAAGCCTCTCCTGCTCTGTTTTAGCAAGGTTTTTTAGAATATCTTGACTGCCATATTGCCAAACGCATAGTTCATGTAATATATAAGAAACCACTAGCTAATCTTCTGTATTTTTAATATAAATACATTTTCAAAAAGTGCACATCAACTTCAGGATAATGTTTTTCTAGGAAGTGGGAAATGGTATTAGGGAGGGGTGGAAACCATGTTTCAAATGGATTTATAATGTTTTTTTTTTTAAACTAAAGTTAAATATGACAAAATGTTATGGTTTGATAAAACTGAATAATGAGTATATGGGTGGTTGCTATTTTCTCTTCCTGTCTCTAGGTTTGATATATTTCATTAAAATGGCGTAATATAATAGTGAAATAGGTTTCAAATAGAAATTGCTGATGTGAAAAACCTATGATAGCCAGCATCTCTTTGCTTTCATGATAAAAGAAAGGAATTGTGATATTTTAAACATTTATATCATCTGTTTAACACAAATGCAGGGAGATGGATTGAGCTGTTCAGGCCATTTTAGAGGCAGGGTGAGGTAGAAGGGATTCTAGTATTTTAAGGAGGTAGCATTGTGTCTTAACAGAAAGATTCAGGCTCATCTGAATTTTTCCATTGCCAAACTATGGAGAGAATTTTTTTTAGCATCCTCCTTATTTATGTCATCCTACATATTTCTATAATCAAATGATTTGCTGTTTGGTGAGGTTTAGAAGCTGGATTTGCACCCTGTTGCAGGCATCACAATATTGAATAAGCTAGCCATACTCCCTGTCTTCAAAGAGCCATGGAGCCTTGGATCTTGAGCTCTCTCCTTGGGAAACATAGGATGTTCTCCGAGCACACAGGCAAGGCGCCTCCTCCTGAGCCCAGCCTGTGCTCCTGGAAGGCTCCTGCTGAGGCACATGCACGCTGACACCTGGTAAGTGGGAATTAGCCTTGGGAAAGGATAAGCAAGGTGGGGGGGCAGAAGAATGGGGTGAAAAATGACAAAGCAGGTGACACAAGTACTTGTGGAGAGCAAGCATGATGCAGCACAGTCCACGGAAAGAAGGAAAGAAGAGGCAAGGGGAAGAAAAATGATTGACAGTAGACTCTTATGACCATGGAGAAACGGTAGTGTAGAATCAGAAAACTTAAAATGAAGCTCCTGTTCATCCCCTTACTCTGAAGTCCTGAACAGGTCACGTAGCATTTCAGGTCTCAGTTTTCTAACTTTTAAAAGTTGTGATGATACTTGCTTCACTCAAGAATAAAACAAGATAACGTGAAAGATGCCTTGTAAGTAAAAAATATCAGATAAATATGTAAATATGAACAAACGGAAGAAGGAAGGAAGGAAAGGAAAGTTAAGACAAGACAATAAAAGCAGGGAGCACATGACGAAAGAGTAATACGATCAAAGAGCAACGGTCATGGCTGATTCGCCTTTATCATGTCTGAGGGAACAAGAAGGAGCTGTGTACCAGACTGTGGCACCGTAGCCTTATTGGTGCTGATGGTGGCTTTCATATCTGCACCAGGAGATATTTTAAAAAGTAAGCCATGTGCTGGCCTCTGTATAGATTATATAAGCTGTCCAAGGTGTTTCAGGATATATATCTCTCTGAAAATATGGTCCTAGACTTTCCTTTGTGTTATTTTTTATATTTGTATTTGCGTAGCTTTCAAATGCAGATGTCAGGTTTCCTTACAAAAAACAATTTATGCAATATATGACTTTTCTGACTGTGATGCCTGTCCTGACATGGTGGGCATGATCCTGGCCAAGAATTAAGAATCTTAAATTTGGGCCAGGCGCGGTGGCTCACACCTGTAATACCAGCACTTGGGGAGGCCGAGTTGGGTAGATCATGAGGTCAGGAGATCAAGACCTCCTGTCTAACATGGTGAAACCCCCATCTCTACTAAAAATACAAAAAAATTAGCTGGGCGTGGTGGCACACGCCTGTAGTCCCGGCTACTCAGGAGGCTGAGGCAGGAGAATCGCTTGAACCTGAGAGGCGGAGGTTGCAGTGAGCCAAGATTGCACCACCGTACTCCAGCCTGGGCAACAGAG
Organism: Homo sapiens; assembly: GCF_000001405.40. Lineage (NCBI taxonomy): Eukaryota > Metazoa > Chordata > Mammalia > Primates > Hominidae > Homo > Homo sapiens. The sequence goes on from NC_000006.12 coordinate 5,409,437, forward strand.
CGAGACTGACTCAAAAAAAAAAAGAAACTTAAATTTTAGAATAGCAGTGAACTTGTAGCTTCTTTCATTTCGGCATATGTTGCTTTATTGTTTTAAAAATATTGTCAGCCTAGACTTTTGGTAGTCAGCTTTTATTACAGATCGATGTTGCTATTTTATAAATGTTCAAATTCACTTTTTGTCTGTAAGACTGAGCTGGCAGAATTATGGAATGGAATTAAAGTTTAAAAATCCACCTGCTTGGATAATACATGTTGGTTCACACGCATCAGAATCTATCTGGGAAGAAAGCCTTTTCTTTTTCTTCTTTCCTTTGAGCCATGGTCATTTTTAACCCCATCCACACAGTGGCCAGGCATCCTGAAACTGCTGAAAGGTGCCTCATTCACACACCCTTGCCATGCCCTGGTGTGTTTCTGCCGGTTGTGTTGCCACGAGCTGTTGTTGTAGAGGTGTGTGAGCTTGTCCCCGACCGTGTTTGCCGTGTTTGTGACGTCCGCTGTATTGCCTCTCAGGGGAGATGTGAAGTGAAGTGGGAAGGTGACTGGAACCTGGGCCCATCTGATGAACTAGAAGAGTGAGAGGGTCTGTATCACAGAACACAGACAGTGCTGTGTGCTTCCTTCATGCTCACACTGAATGTTAACAATGCTTTCAGGATTCTCAGCTGTTTCTTCTGAACTCTGAAGAAAAGTGCTTTGTTCGTTTTTGTGTTTTTTTGTTTTTTTTTTTTTTGAGATGGAGTCTCACTCTGTCATCCAAGCTAAAGTGCAGTGGTGTGATCTCAGTTCACTGCAAACTCTGCCTCCTGGGTTCCCGCGATTCTCATGCCTCAGCCTCCCACGTAGCTGGGATTACAGGCGTGCGCCACCACACCTGGCTACTTTTTTGTATTTTGTATTTTTAGTAGAGACGGGGTTTCACCATGTTGTCCACACTGGTCTCGAACTCCTGACCTCAGGTGATTCACCCACTTTGGACACCCAAAGTGCTGGGATTACAGGCGTGAGCCACTGCACCTGGCCGCGTTGTTCTATTTCAGGCATTTCAGAAGCACTAATTAGTTATGGGTTTTGGGTTCTTGCTGTTGGTTGGTTTATTAATTAAGTAATTTTGCTAGCTTCTGAAAAATGTCTTGGTAAACCTATCTAGGTGCCATCAACCTGGATTAAATTTACATTAATAATAGCAATAATAATGGTAATAATGGTGACGATAGAGATAATAGTTAACAGTGTGAAACCCTGTGCTAAGCACGTTGACAAGGAGTTTTTTCTTTTGACGTGCATCTATGATATGGGTGTTACAATCTCTGTTTTTCAGATGTTGTATTGAGAGTAAAAATTAGGTTTATAATTAATTGTTAGTGCTACATTCTTCTTAAATGGAATCACATCAAAAATTTTAAGTGTGTATCACTTTAAAAATTTTTAAACCATCTCTATGATATGGGTGTTACAATCTCCGTTTTTCAGATGCAGGAACCTAGACACAGAGAAAAAGTGCCATGTAAAAATCACAGGGCTGGTAAGTATTTGAGGCAGTTCGAGCCCACAGGCTGACTTCTAAGGCCATACCAGAAGTTAGCTTTTGGATAGGATACAAAGAAATCTTATTAGTAATATTTCAGAGACTGTGAGGCCTATAAAAGCCATGATGTCCCCCTGGCCAAACAACAACAACAACAAAAATCAGGGCCAGGCCCAATGGCTCACGCCTGTAGTCCCAGCTACTTAGGAGGCTGAGGCAGGAGGATTGCTTAAGCCCAGGAGTCCAAGGCTGCAGTGAGATATGATCATGCCCCTGCACTCCAGCCTGGCCAACAGACTGAGATCCTGTCTCTTTAAAACAAAACAAAACAAAACAAAACAAAAAATCGTCTTCTCTCTAGGTGCTGCCTCTGATTCTGCCTCTGATTCTTTCCTTTACCTTCTCTTCCCATTCAGTGCCTCCTGGTAGCTAGCTTGTGGTAAAGCCTCCATTTACTACATCATATCCAATTACATTCTGGGTAGCAAAGACCATTTAAAAACTTAAGGTTCACTCTTTCTATAATTAGTGATGAATGGGAACTGCCTCTACAGGCCTCAGAAATATTGAGCAACTCTTTTTATATTTGTTTTTATGGTCCAGGCTTTTCACCTTTTATTATTATTATTGGATTCCTTTGTTCTTGAAAAGCAAAATTAAAAATTAGAACACACTATTTCCTTGTGGCAGTATGTTATTACAGCTGCTTTAGTTTCAGGTTTTTTTCCTGTCCAAATGTGGTTTATTATTTTCTGCTAACATTTCAATTGTACCAGCATCCTAAGGCTATTATAAGAAAGGTTATCATTTTAGAATTAGAAAGAAATAAAATAACTCTTTAGACTATTTTTATGCTTGTGGATTTTGTTGTCATTTTTAATATTTCTCGAGTGTTTTCTGTATATTTTGTACTGTGCTTAGTAGATCATTTCTTTCAGAGTAACCAAGGTGGGGATTTAGGATTTCTAACTTTTAAATTTCTCTTTCTGTCCTTGAGTTTCCAGCCTTTCTTTGGCACAGTTTCTTTGCTAAACATTGGCATTTCCCTTTCTAAAGGATTGGCCTTGTAGCACAGTTTAGATTAATTAGTGTGAAGGAGAGATGGATTGGGACCCTTGGGGGAGTCATGTCTTGTCTTTGCTTGTTAAAAGACCTGTGGTGGTCATTGAAATGCACCTCCCAGCATGCCCTCCGAGGGTCCAGGCTGATGGGATTGCCGATCGCCTGCAGCTGTCAGCTTCTTGGGGAATTGCCTCAGCTGCAGGGAGCCTCCTTGCCCAAAGACATGCCCTTCCTGGGGCAGCCCACATCCGAAGACTGAATGTGGCAAGAATACAAAGGCCCTCCATGGGCCATTCTGATGGGCTGTCTGCTCCAGACCTCTGGCAAGGTAAAGGCTTCATTGGCCTGACTGTAGTTCGTTGACTTCTCCCTCTGCCCAGTTTGCTGCCACTGTCTTCATCCACACGTGTTGATTCCCTTCAGATAACGTGCTTGCCAGCCCAACCTGCATAGGGACCTATACATGGTCCCATCCAGCAGAAACATTCTAGGGCCCTGTGTTGTGAGTGATGTCCTGGTCAGGAGTGAAATCACTTGATCATGTGTAATAAGGAATCACGTCTTCCATACCTTTTCATATTTTTTTATCCATGAGGCTCTATTAGTATAAATGAAGTGAAAGGGATCAAGAGTAAGAATTAGATTTATAATTAATTGTTAGTGCTACATTCTTCCTAAATGGAATCACATCAAAAATTGTAAGTGTGTATCACTTTATTAATTTTTAAATCAGCTCTTTTGGGCTGGCTGCTGTTGCCTGGCTTGGGGAGTGTTATCCTTCTCAGAGTACTCCTAGACAGCGAAGTAGCCAAGGCAGTTGTTGCATTCAAGCAATTTTGACTTGTCTGTACTCGCCTCGCCGTAGCTTAGATGTAGTCTAGAGCAGGTTGCTCTTTCCGATAAAAACGGGCCAACACCTTCAACCTCTGAGACTTGGGATCATTAACTGTGAAAAGTGAAGTGCCTCGCTTTAAGCCAGTGGAGGGACTCAGTGGAAATAAGACACCACCCTAGGAATCAGGTGGAGAGAGGCCTAAGACACACTTTTCCTTAGATGTCTAGTGAAGTGGGAAAATATATACTAGGGTTGATCTGTTGGGGCTAAGGAATTGGTACAAGGGAACCTCTTTAGAGAAAGGTTGAGATAGCAATAGTTGAGCTGAACTATAATACTTTTAAGGAGCCCAGAAACCTTCCTGATTCTATGGCAGTTGGGCAGAGGATAACAGAGAGGTTCACTAATCTAGGGAAATAATAAATTGAAATTGTTTGGGGTTTTATGTTAATTAAAATAAAATTATTGGATCTTAAGGTACAGAGAAAAAGGCACTGAAAATTTTAGGGCTGCTGTAATGAAAACCATCAGTGTGCCTGGAACTACACCCATTGCAAACTATTTTTACTGGTACTAATAACTCTCAGGTGGTTGGTATACAGGTGACCTAGAAACCATTAAGATTTAGGGAGAGAGGGAAGATTCTCCTTCTACTCTTTAGGTTCATAGAAAGCTCAATTTCCTGATTGATTTCAGCCACTTCTCTTCTGGCCTGTCTTCTAGCTCTACTAAGGAATTGATCATCAGCATAAAGTTAGTTATCAGAACTCTGTTATCAACCACTTTAACTCCTTCACTCCTTTGACTTGCACTGGACACTTGATGAAAACCTAGCCTTGAATATGTGCCCAAATCTCTTTATGCTTCCCCCTCCTGTAGCAGCTCAGATTTGCCACCTTAGCCAGGTCAAGGTTGGTGGCTCTCTTCTTTCTTATTTTGGTCAGCTCACTGTACAAATCCCTTTTTTTCTGTTATTCCACACCATTTTTTCAGTCTCCATTTTTCTATTCTTTGTCAGAGGATAAGCTGTATTTTACTGAGAAAATCTAGGTGACTGGCTGTGGATTTTGTGCTTAGTTGGACTGCTGATTACCAGCCCATCGGTTTCTCTAGAATTTTGTTTCATCAGCTTTAAATATACCCTAAATGATGTCATCTCACAATAAAACAAACAACTACCATTATTTGATGATCCATCTTTCTCTGGAAACTTACTGTCCTTTTCAGCTACAGTTTATGAAATATACCTTCCAATTGCTGCCCGACAGAGGCAGCAGTGGTTAGTTCATTCTAATGGTTTCTGTTGAGGTCACGATTGATTTCCAAATTATAAAATTCAACAGATTGGGGAAAACACTTATTATGCTGAATCTTTCTGCTTACTCTTTTGTTTATTGAATTATAATGGGCTTCCAATAAACTAAAGTGTACAATTTGATAACTTTTGACATAATTATACACACACTAAACCATCACCACAATCAAGATATACTCATCACCCCAAAACGTTTCCTTGTGCTCCTTCACCGTCCCTCTACCACCTCTTCTGCCCACTCTCCCTACCCACCAGGCCTAGGTAACTAGTGATCTGCTTTCTGTTACTATAGGTTGGTTACCATTTTCTAGATTTATGTTCAAGGAAATCCTATTGTATGTATTCTCTGGCTTCTTTCACTCAGCATAATTATTTTGAGATTCATGCATTTTGTAGCGTGTTATCAATACTTCATTCCTTTTTGTTACTAAGTAGGGTATTACATTGTATTGATATTCCACAATATGTGTATTCATCCACCTATTGTTGGCTATTTGGGTTGTTTCCAGGTTTTGGCTATTGCAAATGAAGCTTCTATAAATATTTGTGGACAAGTCTTTATATGGACATCGCTTTTTTTTTTCTTGAGTAAATAGCTACAAATGGAATGGCTGCATGGTAGGTATATGACTGTTTTTTTTTTTTTTTTTTTTTTGAGACAGAGTCTCACTCTGTCACCCAGGCTTGAGTGCAGCATCGCGATCTCGGCTCACTGCAACCTCCGTCTCCTGGGTTCAAGCAATTCTCTGCCTCAGCCCCGCGAGTAGCTGAGATTACAGGCACCCGCCACCATGCCTGGGTAATTTTTTTTTGTATTTTTAGTAGAGACCGGGTTTCACCAACTTGGCCAGGCTGGTCTTGAACTCCTGACCTCATGATGCACCTGCCTTGGCCTCCCAAAATGCTGGGATTACAGGCGTGAGCCACCGCACCCGGCCATGACTAACTTTTAAAGAAACTGTCGAACTGTTCAACTGCTTGTACCATGTTACATTTCCACTAGCAGTGCCTAGGAGTGGAAGTTGCTCCTCATTTTTGCTAGCACTTGTTATAGTCATTGTAATTTTAGCCATTCTGATAGGAGTGTAGTGGTATCTGATTATGATTTTAATTTGTATTTTCTTTTCTTTTCTTTTTTTTTTTTTTTTTTTTTTGAGACAGAGTCTTGCTCTGTCGCCAAGGCTGGAGTGCAGTGGTGTGATCTCAGCTCACTGCAACCTCCACCTCCTGGGTTCAAGCAGTTCTCTCCCACCTCAGCCTCCCAAGTAGCTGGGATTACAGGTGCACGCCACCACGCCTAGGTAATTTTTGTATTTTTAGTAGAGACAGAGTTTCGCTATGTTAGCTAGGCTGGCCTGGAACTCCTGACCTCAGGTGATTCACCCACCTCGGCCTCCCAAAGTGTTGGGATTACAGGCGTGAGCCACCGCTCCCTGCCTAATTTGTGTTTTCTTAGTTGATAATGATGCTGAATATTATGTACTTATTTGCATTCATATAACTATTTGGCAAAGTATTCAAATATTTTGCCCATTTGTTTTCTTTCTTTTTTTTGGTCTTGCTCTTTTGCCCAGGCTGGAGTGAAGTGGCATGATCTCAGCTCACTGCATCCTTGACCTCCCAGGTCAAGCGATGCGCCCACTTCAGCCTCCCAAGTAATGGGGATTACAGGTGCTCATCACAATGCCAGTTAATTTTGTTTATATTTTGTAGAGATGGGGTCTCACTATATTGTCCAGGCTGGTCTTGAACTCCTGGGCTCAAGCAGTCTGCCCACATTGGCCTCCCAAAGTGCTGGGATTACAGGTGTGAGCTATTGCGCCTGGCCCTATTATCTTTTTATTGATTTTTGAAACTGTGAATTTTGGATATGATTCTTTTGTGGGATGTGGGATTTGCAATATTTTCACTCAGTCTTTTCATTAGTGTTGTTCCTCAAAAGGCAGAAGTTCTTTAACTTTGATGAAACCCAGTTAACCAATTTTTTTCTTTTATGGATTATGCTTTTGATATTGTTTCTCGGACATCTTTCCTAACCCAAGGTCACAAAGATTTTTCTACTATGTTTTCTTGTAGAAGTTTTATAGTTTTCAGTTTTATATTTAGATTTGTGATTCCTTTGAAGAATTTTATGGATGATCTGAGGTACGGATTGAAATTTTGTTTTCCATATTGATATCCAGTTGTTCCAGCATCGTTTGTTGAAATGACCTTTCCTTCTGCACTGCAAAGTCTTCGTACCATTGTCTGGAATCAATTAACCATGTATGTCTGGGGCTATTTCTGGACTCTCTATTCTGTTCCATGCATCTGTTATTTGTCTATCTTGACACAATACTTCACTGTCTTTATCACAGTAGCTTTATAATGCCTTAAAATCGGTTAAATTCTTGTAACTTTGTTCTTTTTTCAAAGTTATTTTAATTAGATTGTTTACATTTGATGTTATTATTGATGTTGTTGGATTGAAATGATCATTTTGCTATTTGCTTTCTATGAGTAACATTTTTTTTCTTTGTTCTCTTACTTTGTTTGGATTAATTGTATTTTTTATTATTCCATTTTATTTCCTTTGTCTTATGAGGGGTAACTTTTTGTTTTGTTATTGTAGCAGTTGCTTTAGGATTTACAGTTATCACAGTCTCACTTCACTTTGAGTGCTGTTACCCCACTTCTGTATAGCGTAAGAACAGCAGACTTCCCTGTTTCCCATCTTGGCCTTTGTGCCGTCACATATTTTAATTCTTATGTATACTATCAACTCCTAAATACGTTATGATTGTTTTTGCTTTGAATAGTTGATCAGCTTTTAAAGATATTTAAATAGTAAGAAAAGTCTTTATATCTCCTAGGTCCTTACCATCTTCAGTGCTCTTCATCTGGGTTCCCAACTGATATTTTCCTTCTGCACAGCAGAAGGTCTGCTTCTGCTAGTGATGAATTCTTTTGCATTTGTATGTCCATAAAGCTTTTATTTTGCCTTTATTTTTGAGATATTTTCACTGGGAAAAGAATTCTAGATTAATAGTTTTTTTTACCTCTGTGTATTTATTTTTGAGATAGGGTCTTGCTCTGTCACTTAGGCTGGAGTGCAATGGCGTGATCATGGCCCACTGCAGCCTCCAAGTCCTGGGCTCAAAGGATCCTTTTACTTCAGCCTCCTGAGGAGCTGGGACTACAGGTGTGCACCACCACACCCCGCTAACTTTTAAAATAAAAAAAAAATTGTAGAGAGATGGGGTGTCACCATGTTGCCCAGGCTGGTCTTGAACTCCTGGCCTCAAGTGATTCTCCTTCCTCGGCCTCCCAGACTGCTGGGATTACAGGTATGAGCCACTGTGCCCTGGCCCTTTTAGTTTTTTAGAGGTGATATTCCTAGATCTCTTCTCACTTGCCCTGTTTCCTGTGAGAAATCTGCTCTTAACTTTGCTTTTGTCTTTGTTTTTCTGTACATAATGTGTCTCTTCTCTCTGAGTCGTTTTGCAATGTTTTCTTTGTCACTGGTTTTAAGCAGTTTGATTATGATGTACATAGATACAGTTTTCTTCAGATTTCTTATGTTTGGAATTGGTTGAGCTTCTTGGATTTATATTTTTCGTGAAATCTGGAAAATTGTGGTCAATTATTTCTTCAGATACTTTCTGTTACTCTCCTCCTTTAGGTACTCCACTTGCATGTGTATGTGGCCACTTAAAACTTTTCCACTACTGGTGCTCTGTTCATTTTTCTTTCAGTGATTTTTTTTTCCTTCTATATTGCATTTTGGATAATTTCTATTGCTTTATCTTCAAGTTTACCAATATTTCTTCTACAGTGTCTAATTTTCTGTTAACTCCTTCCTGTGTATTTTTCATCTCATTCATTTGCTTCAGTTTGGATCTTTTTAATATCATCCCTGTTTCTACTTAACGTGTTTAGTCTTTCTTCTAGCTTTTTGAACATAACGAATATATAATACATATTTTAACACATTTTTTCCTACTAATTCTGACATCTGTCATTCCTTGGTGAATTGCTTTTGATTCTTCTGTACTTTGTATTATGTATTTTGTTTCTATTTTGCATGCCTGGTAATTTACTATAGGATATTGCCAAACATTGTTAATTTTACCTTCTGATGCATTGGATATTTTTTACCTTCCTAATATCCGCGAGCTTTATTCTGGGATTACTTAGAAACACTTTGATCCATTTAGGTCTTCTTTTTAAGCCTTACTAGGCAGGACCAGTATAGAGTTTCGTCTGGGGATAGTTTTGCCCACTACCTATGCGAGACCTGTCTTAGCTCTGTAACCGATAACCCGTGAATTATGAGGTTTTCCCCTTGGCTGTTGAGAACTGGCACTATTCCTGGTCCTGTGTGAGCTCCAACTTTATTCCCTCTAATCCTTTTGTGTGGTTTGTTCCCTGACCTCAGGTAGATTTTTCAACACACATGATCAGTGTTCAGTTGAATGCTGAAGGGGTTCTTCTGCAGATCTCCAGAGTTCTTCGCGCAGCTCTCTTCTCTCCTTTACTCTGCCCTGAGAATTCTAGCTATCCTGACTTGTCCAGACTCCCGGCTCTGTCTCCTCAAATCAAGGAGACTTTTGGGCTCTCCCATGTTCTCCTTAGGTCTCACCCCTCTGGGGGGTCTGTGTCCTTGGTCACCTGGTGTCCTCTGTTTTGAGTGGTGTGATTTTATATATTTGTCTTTTTATTATTATTATTATTATTATTAGTTTTTCATATGGAAGGGTAAAACTGGTTTATTATTCCATCCTGTCCAGATGTGGAAGTTTCTCTTTTTCATTTGAATCGTTTGGCTACTCCTTCTGGACCTTCCTTCCTGCAATTTTCTATTACATCTCATTCCCCTCTTCGCCTTCATTATATTCTTACATCTCTCTCATCACTTACTCTCTGTGTCTTTTTTGGTCTTCTTTTCTGATGCAGCTTAATGTTTGTGACAGGAACTCTTTGAAAGGGTGGCTGGTGTTTTCCTTCTCAGAGAAGAATTTGACTGGGAGATGGATACAATCCTAAAGATGCATTTTTAGATCTGTTTTACAAAACCAGAATTTTTATGAATTTTATTTTCTAGAACACATCAGTGAATTGTGCTTTCATGTATCTCTTAAGATATCTAAAACACACTTATTTTAAAGTCTCAGATTGTTTCATAAAAATAATCTCAACTGAGGTAAGTTAATGTTTGATTATTTGTTCTGCTGGCTGTATTACTTAGCATTAGATTTGTCCATATGTTTTAGAATTTTGGGTTGCAGGGTCATATTCAGAGGAAGGTTTTTTTGTTCTTTACCGTTTCTCTGTTTTCTTCGTTCCTGTCCTTCTCCCCCATCCCCCGTCTCTTACTATTCACCCTATAAGTGGATTTGCAGGTGATTCCACCCAATTCTCTAGGCTTGAAATCCAGAGTGAGATTTCCCAGGGATCCATCAGATGTCTAGCACCCATACAATGAGGGGATGGAGCTGATCCTAGGCCTATGGCTTGGATCCCTAATCTTAAAGCTCCTTAGATCTACAGCCCCATGCTGCATTTGGGTGACAGTATTTGACTTCCTTCTGGCACCGTCATGGAGCTTATCCCATCCCAGCCTCTGACTTGAAGCTTTTTGCCTCCCTCCTGCCCCAAGCCCACAGTGTGCCATCCTGCAGGAGGCAGGCTCCTGGTTCTTCTTGGTTGTGGACCCCAAGCCCAGCAGGCTCACTTTATCCTCTCTTCCTGTTTTGCTTCTGGCCTGTGGAGGTTTACATTTTGTATTAGTCCATTTTCACATTGCTGATAAAGACATACCCGAGACTGGAAAGAAAAACAGGTTTAATGGAGTTACAGTTCCACCTGGCTGGGGAGGCCTTACAATCGTGGCAGAAGGCGAAAGACACGTCTCACAAGGCAGCAGGCAAGAAAAGAGAGCTTGTGCAGGGAAACTCCCATTTTTAAAACCATCAACTCTTGTGAGACTTATTCACTGCAACAAGAACAGCATGAGAAAGACCTACCCCCATGATTCAATTACTTCCCACTGTGCCCCTCCCACAACACATGGGAATTCAAGATGAGATTTGGGTGGGGACACAGCCAAACCATATCATTCCATCCCTGGCCCCTCCCAAATCTCATGTCCTCACATTTCAAAACCAATCATGCCTTCTCAACAGTGCCCCAAAGTCTTAACTCATTTCAGTGTTAACTCAAAAGTTCACAGTCTCAAATCTCATCTGAGACAGGGCAAGTCATTTTTGTCTATGACCCTGTAAAATCCAAAGCAAGTTAGTTACTTCCTAGATACAATGGGGGTACTGGCATTGGGTAAATACAGCCTTTCCAAATGGGAGAAATTGGCCAAAACAAAGGAGCTACCAGGCCCCATGCAAGTGTGAAATCCAGTGGGGCAGTAAAATCTTAAAGCTCCAGAATGATCTCCTTCAACGCCATGTCTCACATACAGGTCCTGCTGATGCAAGAGGTATGTTCCCATGGTTTTGGGCAGCTCTGCCCCTGTGGCTTTGCAGGGTACAGCCTCCTTCCAAGCTGCTTCCATAGGCTGGTGTTGAGTGTCTGCGGCTTTTCTAGGTGCCTGGTGCAAGCTGTTGACTTCCTTCTGGCACCGTCATGGAGCTTATCCCATCCCAGACTCTGACTTGAAGCTTTTTGCCTCCCTCCTGCCGCAAGCCCACAGTGTGCCATCCTGCAGGAGGCAGGCTCCTGGTTCTTCTTGGTTGTGGACCCCAGACCCATTCTGGGGTCTGGAGGGGTCTGGAGGACGGCGTCCTTCTCACAGCTCCACTAAGTGGTGCCCCAGCAGGGATTCTGTGTGGGGGCTCCTACCCAAAATTTCCCTTCTGCACTGCCCTAGCAGAGGTTCTCCATGAGAACTCCACCCCTACAGCAAACTTCTGCCTGGGCATCCAGGCATTTCCATGCATCTTGTGAAATCTAGGTGGAGGTTCCCAAACCTCAATTCTTGACTTCTGTGTACTCACAGGCTCCACACCACATGGAAGCTGCTAAGGTTTGAGGCCTGCACCCTCCGAAGCCACAGCCCGAGCTCTACATTGACCCCTTTCAGCCACATAACAACTGGGACACAGGGCACCAAGTCCCTAGGCTGCACACAGCATGGGGACCCTGGGCCTGGCTCATGAAACCACTTTTTCCTTGTAGGCCTCCAGGCCTGTGATGAGAAGGGCTGCCACAAAGACCTCTGACATGTCCCAGAGACATTTTCCCCATTGTCTTGGGGATTAACTTTCACCTTCTTGTTACTTATGCCAATTTCTGCAGCCAGTTTGAATTTCTCCTCAGAAAATGGGATTTTCTTTTCTATCGCATTGTCAGCCTACAGATTTTCCAAACTTTTATGCTCTGCTTTCCTTATAAAGCCAAATGCCTTTAACAGCACCCAAGTCACCTCTTGAATGCTTTGCTGCTTAGATATTTCTTCTGCCAGATACTCTAAATCATGTCTCTCAAGTTCAAAGTTCCACAAATCTCTAAAACAGAGGCAAAATGCTGCCAGTCTCTTTGCTAAAACATAACAAAAGTTACTTTGCTCCATTTCCGAACAAGTTCCTCATCTCCATCTGAGACCATCTCAGCCTGGACTTCATTGTCCATATCACTATCAGCTTTTGGTCAAAGCCATTCAACAAGTCTCTAGGGAATTTCAAACTTTCCCACATTTTTCTGTTTTCTTCTGAGCTCTTCAAACTATTCTAACCTCTTCCTGTTACCCAGTTTCAAAGTCACTTCCACATTTTTGGATGTCTTTTCAGCAGCGCCCCACTCTGCTGGCACCAATTTACTGTATTAGTTTGTTTTCACACTGGTGATAAAAACATACCTGAGACTGGGAGGAAAAATAGGCTTAATGGACTCACAGTTTCATATGGCTGGGGAGGCCTCACAATCATGGCAGAAGGTGAAAGGCCCATCTGACATGGTGGCAGACAAGAGAAGAGAGCTTGTGCAGGGAAACTCCTGTTTTTAAACCCGTCAGATCTCATGAGACTTATTCACTATCACGAGAACAGCATGGGAAAACCTGCCCCCATGATTCAGTTACCTCCCACTGGGCCCCTTCCACAATGCGTGGGAATTCAAGATGAGATTTGGGTGGGGACACAGCCAAACCATATCACCTTTTATCTTTCAACTTAGACTATGCCTGTTTGGTTCTCTCTCTCTCTCTCTCTTTTTTTTTTAAATCATAAATGTCACTGTTGTGTGTTAGGAGAACAAGGACACAGACCGTGCCTTCTTGGTCTCATGAGTGTGCTTTGTGTTGGAAGCTGAGTTAATGTGGTGTTGCACTGTCTGCTCCAGTGGAGGGCAGCATGGGGCTGTGCTGTCCCACACACCTGGTTCTGATCCTGGCATTTACTCTCTACTGTAAACTGAGATTAGATACGTGAGCTGTTGCAGTCACATTTCCCTCATCTGCAAAGTGGGAATGAGAGTAACGATTGTTCAGTGTATATGCCAGCCTCACATCAGCGTAAGCATGAAGTGAGAGCAGGCATGGGACGTGTTTAGCACAGTGCCCAGCATATAGTAAATGAACAGTAAATGTCAGTTACCCAGGAACACAATTTAGACATGCTTATTTTTTCATATTTTATTAAAAAGTGAGATGTTTCAGATTATGAGCTGAATTTCATGACATTCAATGAAAAAAAATACCCACTGAGTGTTAATGAGCTGCTAGGTACTGTGTTAGGCTTTTTACACACTTCCCCATGCTGAATTGTCACAGAAACTCTGTGAGATATTCTTATTTTTGACAAAATTGAAGCAGTGCGAGGTTAAGTAACTGGCCTGAGGTCACTCAGCTGCAAGTGATAAAGCTGGGATTTGCTTCTAGATCTGTGCTGGCTCTTAGATCCAGGCTGTCCCCCACCCGACCAGCTTTGTGGAGGCTGGTGTGTGAGCCTTCTGTTTACAATGCCTCTCTGTGTAGCCTGCAGGGATCTGAAGATAGTTTCCTTCGAGAACAGGTTGACGAGGAGGATCGAGGACCAAAGGGCTGTGCTGTGGCTCTGCCTGAGGCCGGGATGCTATTGGACTGTCCCCTCTGCTGCTTGATAGAGAGCACGGGAGTGATCACTTACCCTGGTGCCTCTGAACCCATACCCAGATTTCAGAATGAGGGGCCCATTAAATTGTGCCATACTCCATTTCTCATTTCATTGTGAGGTAGAGAAACGATCATATCATCTTACGATCCAAGCACTAGTCAAAAGGATCCCTGTGTAGAGGAGTCCCAGGGGAACAGTGTGAAACTGCACTTGCACACATTGGTCTTTCTGCCAAGCAGAAGAATAATAGCTGTGGGACCAGTTATACCATTGCCAATGGTGGAGGAAATCGCCTGCCTTTTATTTTTCCCCTATTGCTTTGTGTTTGTCTTAGCAGGAGTCATTGTGGCTGAAATAGTGTTAATATCTTCTGTATGCTTGGGAGGTCCCACACTGGAGGATTTTATTACCCTCTGTGAGAGGGAAGAGGTGGTATTTACCATTAACTTTGTAGTAGGAATGGTTTTATTCCACTTGGCACTCTGCAGCGCTGGACTCCAGGGTACATGGTTGTGTGGACGCATAGGATATATATGGCGCTCTTAAAGAGTCACAGTGGTGGCATTGCCAGGTTTGTAAGGCCCTAGATAGGGATGAAGTGTAGGTCATGAATGACTTCATGCTGCGTGTGAGGTGGGCTTTGGAAACAGAATCAGTATTTGTATTCCCACATGGATGCTTCAGGCCTTAAAAGTGCCTCCTCTTCCTTATGACTGCCAGCCACATTTACTGAGTCCAGAAGACACTCTTTTCTTCTCTTAGGGGAGAGACGAGATGTAAACAGCAAGGGCAAGGAAGGCAGCCCTGGGAATCGTGTCTGTGGGTACTCAACTGTTGCTTTATCTAAGTGGGAGCTGCGTAAGAGGGTCGAGCTGGTGTTCTTTTATCAGCAAAGCCCTGGATCTTTGTCTGGGACCTACACTCTCATTGTATTCTTCCACCAGTTAGTTCTATGGCCTTGGCGCCTGTGGAAAGTATTGAGCTAATGTTAGTGCAAAATATTATACAACACCTATCGAGGGCGTTTTGGCAATATTTATTAAAATCATAAAAGCATTTACTCTTCAACTCAACAGGGTATTTAGTCACAGCATTGCTTTCAGTAGCACAACACTGAATATTCTCCAAGTGTGTATCAGTAAGACTTCTTATATGAATGTGGGCCACATGCAGGAATCTTTGGTAGGAGTAAGAAAAGGACTGAGGGCGTGCTCTATGCATTCATGTGGAGAGGCCTCCAGACACATCATTCAGTGAAAAAAGCGTGGTGCCGAATAAAGTACACACTATGCTGCTTGTTATATAACAAAGGAAGGAAAATAGAAACAGATATTTGTATTGGCTTAACATCTGGCAGTAAAAAGGAAACCCTGAGAGTTTACCGTAAGGGTCCAGGAGATTGGGGTAAGATGGGAAAGGGAGGTAAGTGAGACTTCTTTGTCATGCCCTATTACATAATGAGATGGATCCTGTTATAGTATTTTGATTTTGAACCTTGTGAACATATTTCCTATTCAAAACAAAACAATTTATAAAAGAATGCTGTTAGAGCACTATTGAAACATCATGAAAAAATGGGCTCTATCAAAAGGTTGCGGGTCTTCAACAGAAGCAGAATAGATGGAATCATCAGATGTCTTTGACAGTGGCGGCTGCACGATTTCCCGTGGTTAGATTGTGGTTATCGAGGATGATCCCAGCTCTTTAAGAATTTGTTTCCAGCCAGAGAGTCCCCTCCTTCCTTTTTCTTTCCACGTTCCTTTCCTTCCTTGGATACTAGCTGTTCAGAAAGTGTGAGTGGCAACCCTGATATTAGACCACTATATTCTACTATTTTTCTGGTGTCAACTGAGGGAAAATCTATTTTGAAAATAATGCCAAACACCAGTGGTTAATGGCATATTTGTTCAGTTAATTTTAAAAAATTATTCATGGAGGGTACCCCTGGTTTGGTGTAGAAAATCACTGGTATATGCTCTAGTTTGGGCCACTGATCTTTCAAAATTTAGATTCTACCATCTGTGGAAGGCAGTTCTGATAGGAAAGTCCCATCTTTAAATACAAACGGTATGGGAAACAGCAGAAGAATCTCTTTAATGAGTCAATAAATCAGGGAAATGGAACGTGATGTTTATTCAGAATGAGATCCTTAACGAAGGTGGGATGGAATGGAATGACGTCTACTTAAATGTTTATAGTATGTCAGACAGAGTGCTCAGGCCCTTCAGGGATTGGTGGGAAGAGACCAAACACACACACACACACACCCGCCCTGCAAGTGTCCCTGGCTGGTCTTGCCAAAGGTGCAGAAGTCGGGAGGCTGGTACACAGAGCAGGCGAGGTACAGTGCTGCCTTCCCCATCCCTGTGGCAGGTAATGTCCTGCTGGAGTTGAGACAGGCTTAGAATTCTTGCTATACCTCTTCCATTTGGGCTCATGTCACTGTCCTGGAGGTATTTCTACTTATTTCTGAAGTCCCACTTGAGTGATTGCTTCTGGACTTTGGGCTCTCCTCATTCTTGAACAAACTCAACATCCTTATTCAGAGGAGAAATTTGAGTCAGTGTCCAGATCTCCAAAGAGGATTGCTGCCTCTTGAGAAAACCTGGGCTCCCACAGGGTCTTTTCTTGAAACCACTGGGTGAGGGCAATCATTATCCACGGTGTAGAGAAGAGGCAGGTGGGGCTCAAAGAGGATAAGTAAGCTTCCCGCGGTTTCACAGGAAAAATGGTAGAAGGCTGAGGCTTGAACCCAGGTGTGGTTTTTTTTCCTAAAGTATACTTTCTTTTATGTGGCTCTAGGCTGAAAATTGAGGTGTATAATTTTTGACAGTTGCTGTAATCTCAGAGTTCTGAAGCCGTTAAAAAAGCTCTGAGCTTCATCTGTGTGGTTTAGGAAATTAAAAGACACAAGGAAATAGGAAAAAAAACCTTGGCATTATTTTCCACTAGATATATAGTTCATATATGCACTTAATTTTCCTCTATAGCCCCAATAAGAAGTTAGTCTTATGCATAATGAATCCATATGATTTGGATATGCTTACTGAAAATTCTCCTCTATTAATATATAACACAAAATACGTAATTTTTAGTAAATATTCTGACTTCTAATACTTGACATGTGAAATAAGTCACACTCAACATAGTTTTGAGCTAGTTATTTGGCATTGTATCTTTTAATACAAGAAGCATGTCAAGATGCTTTTTCAACTAGATATAATAATACCTACAGTAATTTTGAGATCATAGATTGAAAAACAAGAAGAAAGTGTATTTTGGGGGTAATATCAAAGTATTCAAGAAATAATTTCACTACCAATGATTTTTTTAAAAATCTCTGTTAATGTGTCAATGTAACAATTAATTAATTTATTTATTTGAGACTGAACCTTACTCTCTCACCCAGGCTGGAGTGCAGTGGCGCAATCTTGGCTCACCGCAACCTCCACCTCCCAGGTTCAAGCAATTTTCGTGACTCAGCCTCCCAAGTAGCTGGTACTACAGGCATGTGCCATCACACCCGACTAATTTTTGTATTTTTAGTAGAGATGGGGTTTCACCATGTTGGCAAGGCTGGTCTCGAACTCCTGATCTTAACTAATCTGTCCGCCTCAGCCTCCTGAAGTACTGGGATTACAGGCATGAGCCACTGTGTCCAGCCCTCAATGTCACAAATTTAAATTGTTAAAATGTGTAAGAAAATATGGTATATTGGGAAAAAGTTCACATTAATATAATTTACTTTCAAATAATTACTATTTATGTTTGAAGTAGAGACACAGTGTACTCAAAAATAGTGCTTTGCAAATTTTGGCCTTTTTTATTTTTAGTTGACACATCATTGTACACATTTATGGGGTACAGAGTGACATTTTAATACATGTATACAATGTGTGATGATCGAATCAGGGAAATTAGCATATCCATCATGATATTCTCTTCAATAAATGATTCTGGGCAAGTGCTGTCTTTCTCACCGTATACAAACCCAACTCAAAATGGTTTGAAGACTTAAATGTAAGACCCGAAACCATAAAACTACTAGAAGAAAACAGATGAATTACTTCAGGACATTGGTGTAGGCAAAGGTTTTATGGATAAGACTTCAAAAGCACAGATTTTGACTTTTGTCTATTTATGTGAAAGAGGCAAATCTTAAAAACTGAAGAAGTCCTTAAAGTAGCAGAACAAAGGAAATGAATGGTGTATAGATTTGGCATTCTTTGTGGGGTCATGTAGATTTTAAAACGAAACTGAGCAGAGGATCTCAGGGGGTAAAAAGGATTAAAAACTTCCTGGTCTCATTAGACACAACTTTTACCAGTCTGTGTTTTCTGTTTTAGTTACTATGGTAGTATCAATAGATTCTGCTCCATTAAATCGTTCGTGTTTATCATCTTGGTGGATTCTGAAAAACATCGGCTAACGTCCCTGCTTTTCTTGCTTTGCTATCTGTAGTTTTCACTGTGGAGCAGTTACCCACGTTGTTACCAAAAAAGACACCTGCAGGATGATTGAGGAAGAAGAAACTGAGGGCTTGTGGTGGCTGAGATCTTAAACCAAAAAAAGAGCAAGGGTTGATAAAACATATTTTATCTTAAGAATTTGTTCAACATTACAGAAATTTTCAATCCAAAGCTATAATTGTTTTTTCTCATTATAGAAGTGGTAAACCAAAAGCCCTTCAGTGAAGGAAGGTTCCTGGAGAAGGGAGAGCCATCACATCACTTCTCAGTTCTATCCTTGTGTTGTGCTGACGCCATCAGCACCAGCAGCTCTAGTGGGTGTGTGTAAACAGGGACCTGTCTCTGCGGAGACGCGGCTTCCTATGAGACCATATGCAGTAGACATTTAGTTAGGGTTTAATAAACATTGATTATGGAATGACTTTAATCAACACTTGTAATTGTTTTCAGTGCTTATTAATGTCTTGAAATGTCTTCCTCTTGGACTAGGGAGAACCTAAGATATTACAGTTGTGAGAGATGGAGTTGTATAACTGAACTCTTCCATATTTATTTAACCTATCCAAAATGATTTTTTTAACAGAACCTAAGAGCAAACTGAGAAAGTAAACTTGTGTAGCACTTACTTTACCACTGTGTTCCAAGCATTTAGGTAATGTTTAATTACATAAAATTAATTATATTTAATTATATGAAATCATGATGTTAACCCTGAGTCCTGTTCCTGCTTTTGGTAAAATTCAGGCCAAATATCCAAAGCCATGTACACAAAATATATTGTTCCAAACTGTTGTCATAAAATGTTTTCCGCTTACGTGCCAAGAGTTATAAAAAAAGAAAGATAGAAATTATTTTGTCTGTCAGTCCTTCTGCACTCACTTCCATGTCCCAAGACCTCACATATTTCTGTTTGTTAGCAGGATTGTCTCTGGTGCTTTTTACAAAAATATTGATAGGGAATTGTTGGTCCCAAAGATGGGCAGGGATACAGGTGTATAAATCCCTTCTTCTCAGAATACAGTCCCAAATAAGCAGTGGCTCTGCGTGTCTGAGCTTCCACACAGAAAAGTCGACTACTCAGGGGACGTGGGGACAGTTCTCCAACGGCCTGCAACAAGACCAGCTTTTTTTTCCCAGTTAGAAAAAGTGTTGATGCGATCTCGGCAATAAAAAGGAATGAACTATTGATAGGTGCAACAACACAGGTGAATCTTAAAATAACCCTGATGAAAGAAGCAAGAAAAAAAGGAGTACATTCTGTATGTTTTCATTTTTATAAAATTCTAGGAAATGCAAACTCATCTATAGTGGCAGAACAAATCAGTGGTTGCCTACAGATGTGGGGGGTCAGGAGAAGAGTGGGGCAGTGGGCAGGTGGGTAGGATTACAAAGGGGCATGAGAAAGCTGGGAGGTGATGTTTATGTTCATTGTCTTGATTGTGGTGACAGTATCATGGGTGCATATCTGTGTCAACATTTGTCACATTATACACTTTATATCTGTGCACTTTAATGTTTGTCTATTTAACACAGAGAAAATAAGAGGGGGAAATATTGTATTACTGTTGTAAACAGAAATCAGTTGACACTTGTCATAGACAGCAGCTAAGAAGGAAAATAAATGCAATTAAAACAAATCAATTAAAGAAAAATCTGCCTTCTCCTGTGGAATCTGGGCCATAGGAAAGCCTCCCTGTGTTTGATAATTACACTCTTGTCTAATGTTTGACTCTCAAAATATCTTTTTTGATGGGCAGGCAATTATGTTTTAACTGTCAAGAGCTGGGTTTTGGGGCCGAGTGCCGTGGCTCCTGCCTATAATCCCAGCACTTTGGGAGTTTGAGTCAGGAGGATTGCTTGAGGCCAGAAGTTCAACACCAGCCTGGTCAACACAGCGAGACCTCATCTCTAAAGTAAAAAAAGTAGAGAAATTAGCCAGGCATGATGACGCGTGCTTGTAGTCCCAGCTACTCAGAGGCTGAGCCAGGAGGATTGCTTGAGCCCAGGAGTTTGCAGTTACAATGAACTATGATTGGGGAGCCACTGCAGTCCAGCCTGGGTGACAGTGTGAGATCCTATCAAACAACACAAAACAAAAAAACAACAAGAGCAAGAGCAGGGGTTTTGGAGTTGGGCAGACCTGGGTTTGGCACAGTGGCCCAGTCACCTGCTAGCTGTGGGACTTTGGGCAAGACAATTGCCTTTTTTTTTTTTCCCGAATCTATGAAATGGGTTGGTAGAAGCATAGTAAGTCCTCAATAGATAGAAGCCATTTTTGTCATTATTTTTATTTGCTTCACATTTTGATTCCCACAAGATTTAACATGCAGGTAGTTTGGGGTGAGAACATATGGTATTTTAAATTCACAAGAGGGCATGTTCATATTACCATGGAGAATCGAGTCCTTTAGCAAAGTGTTGCCTAAAAAAAGAAGAGGTCGGCACAGGAAGGGAAAGGGACACAGGGACAGGAACACAGGATTTGTCAAAATGCCCACTTTTTTCTGTGTTCTTCTCAGTGGGCATCAAGCTCCTAGGTGACCCTCTGATATGGTTTCTCTGCTTTTAGTGACCTCTGCTCTTTGCAGGCTTTAATTGTTTTGAATTCATTAGTCTTTTCCCTTGTTAAATAGTAAGGCCATTGCTTAAATTACAGCACTTTTTCTCAAAAGTGCTGTATTTATGTTTGCTTATTTAGAAATTCATTCTGGCATTTAGCATGTGCTTTTTAATCATTCATCTGTAGGAAAAATGTTGGACTTTAAAAATGTTTTACTTAAGATTGACTGATAGATTTGGTTTAATCTGACTTTTTATTAGCTTTATAAACTTAAAAATAATATATATATTTATATATACTTATGGAAGTAAAAGTTGATCAGTTTATCTTGAATTGGTCATATTGTTGATATGTAAGTTTGGAGGAAAATATAGTAAAAATATACTCTCTTTAACTCTGAAATAATGTCATTTTCATGTATAGAAACTAACAGAATTACTTGCTTTCCCATGATCTTGGCCTAGTGTTTTCTTCTGCCAGCTGGTGGCAGGGATTTGACAAGTGATTGATTTGGTTGCAGAGGGTCCTGGAATTACGCAAAGTGTTTTTTATATTGGAGAAGACATGCCCAGTTTTTCACAAGTTTTAAGATTTATTGCCTCACCCTAACATGTTGCAAATTAGTTTATTTGCTATTTATTTTACTCAGAATGTAGTAATTGGTGTCATTAGTAGAAGGGAAAATTTGATCACAAGAAAGGGCAGACAGCTATTTAACACTACTTATTTGTTTCTTTGGCAACTTTGCAGAGCTGGAGATAAGATGGGTAGACTGCTACTTCCCTTTTACACATCCTTCCTTTGAGATGGAGATCAACTTTCATGGAGAATGGCTGGAAGTTCTTGGCTGCGGGGTGATGGAACAACAACTGGTCAATTCAGGTAAAAAAGAATCCCACATTTTATTTACACGTGCTCTAAAGGAACCCTCCCTTCTCAGGCAGCCCCGTTGCACACTTGTAGATATTTACATACTTCTATGCGGGCAGCGGCATCACTGGTCTCTCTTCAGATTCCCCTCTAGATTTGTCTTTGATACTAAGCCCTGGAAAAACTTATTTCTCACATCCGTATTTGCAAAGGCTCTTTGTCTTTGGAGATCCACCTTGTCAGCACTTGGCTGCTGGATTTGTACTTTGTGATTTCGTATTTGTTGATACGTTGCTTTGTAATTGCCCCAAAGACATTTGCTGCATGTCACAGGAGTGTAGTTTGTCTTTCAGACTATTTAAGAACAAAGACAATGCATAATCCATTTTTGTTCTTACTGCACTTAGTATAGTGTCCCAAATTCAGCAAGTATTTTATAAATACACTAAAACGCAGTGTAAAAACACTTAGGCCCCTAATGCTTAATCCATCACCTCCCTCTGCATAGGCGGCGCCACCTGACTGAGAGAAAATGGAAACACGAGGTTGCTGATTGAATTCTACGCATATCTATAGGCATTTCAGAAAGATCTGTCTGGCTCTTTTCTGTAAGACCATTGCTTAATAAAAATGATGGCTTCTAAATGTAATTTCAGAGCTGTGAGGTTTCTTTTTAAGTCACTATCTGAATTGAGTAATTTTTAAGTCACTATCTGAATTGAGTAATTTTTAAGTCACTATCTGAATTGGGTATTTTTTTTAAGTCACTATCTGAATTTGATTTTTTAAGTCACTGTCTGAATGTAATACTTTTTTGAAAGTTACTATCTGAATTTAATTAAAAAATTTAATATAATTTAATTAATTAAAAAATATTACAGGCTCGTGCACTTTAGGAGGCCGTCCCAGCACTTTGGGAGGCTGAGGTGGGTGGATCACCTGGGGTCAGAAGTTTGAGACCAGCCTGGCCAACATGGTGAAACCCTGTCTCTACTGAAAATACAAAAATTAGCTGGGTGTGGTGGTGCGCCTATAATCCCAGCTACTCGGGAGGCTGAGGCAGGAGAATCACTTGAACCCAGGAGGCGGAGGTTGCAGTGAGCCGAGATCGCTATACTGCAGCCAGCCTGGGCGAAAGAGCAACACTCAGTCTTAAAAAAAAAAAAAATATATATATATATATATATATATTATATATATATAATATATTATATATTTATATATTATACATTATATATATTATGTATTATATATAATATATAATATATTATAAATATAATATATAAAATATATATTATATATTATATATATTTTTTATATATAATATATATTATATATATTTTTTATATCCCAATCATATATATATATTTTTTTTTTTCAGAGTATAAATCCTCCAAAAAAAAAAGGGAAAGTTGGTTTGGATTGGGCATTTGAGCTCACTACATAAGCAGTGAGCACCAAATTGGATAGGAACTGATGTGGATTGTTCAGGAAACCTTTCCGGCTCTGCTCCCTTAGAAGGACATTTGCTGCTTGGCCTTGGAGGGCAGCTCTGAGTCAGGGTTCACCGCCCAGCCTCCTGTAGCAGAATGAAGAGAGGTCCTTCTTGGTAACTAAGAAATGTGAATAGACCATGGGTAAGGATATGATATCTGGTCATGGGCTTGGAAAATGAGGATGAGCAGAGAGTGACGAGACAGGGTGCATGAAGTGCAGGAGCTTGTGTTACCTCGGCTGGGAGACTGGAGGCCTGGCCTTCCCTTCTTACTTTTAGGTACTCTCCATCTGCAGGGGCCTGGACTCCACAAGCTCCCAGATTCTTCTTCATCCTGCTGAGGAAGCCTCAGGAGAAAGCCCAGCACAGGGCTGGAAGCTTCGTGGGCAGTTTTAAAATAGGTGAAGAGCTGTCCTAGAGGAGAGGGAGCACAGAGGTTGACATCAGGACCTGGGAGGAGAAGTTGTGAGGCCTGGGCTTGGGTGTCTGGAAACCCAGGGTTTCTGTTAATTAACAGCTGTGTCTCTTTAGGCAGGGTTCATCACCCCACGAGCCTTGGCTTTCTCATGCTTAAGATGGGTGCAAGGATACACCCTCAGAGTTCCATTATGGGGATAGATTGAGGGGATTCCTCTCAAGTGCTTAGCAAAGGGTCTGGCACACAGCAAGCATTCAGTAAAAATTAACTGCTGATGTTGTTGTACTTAAAATTTTTCTAATGGCTAGAGCCATGTGTCAACAGAGGGTCCCCTTAGTAGGAAATATTTAAACAGAAGTTGTTCCTGCCTGTGATAGAAACAATTTCTAACCAAGTGTAATTTGTTACCTCTTTGACCTGTAGTCATGTCTGTGTCTGCCATTTTATGCTGAGTGAGTGATTTTACAGGGAAAAAGAAAAGTAAGAGTAATAAACAGGAAGAAAAGGAAAATCAGCCTAACAGTTGTATGTGCATCTCAACAGAAAACATAAAATACTGGGCGTGAATATGAAAGATTTAATCTCTCCTTGAGTAGGAGCTGACTTCAAATACCTCTGTGATGATTTGATAGTTTTGTTTTTTAGAAAAAGACTTCAATGACTACTAGGCTTCCTCCCAGGAGTGCCTGGTGTCAGGGGGCTGAAGCTCAGAAAGCAAATCAGGGATGATCAGCTTACACATCAGTTGTTGCTTGGAATTGCGCTTCCTTGCACGGTTTCCAATATCCTTGATGGGTTTTTATGAGGTTTATTCACACAGTAATTGGCTGAATATTGTTATCTGAAACAGATTTCCAAGTCATTATTGCACGTTAATGAGGCTGCTGTTCTGCAATTAGATCAGCCACGTTAGATATTCTTGAATGGAATGGCAAAGTGAAAAAGACACCTAAGTCGTAAATATGTTTCAGAGATTCGCAGTGATGGTAGGATGTGCTTTGAGTTTTGGGGAAACTGTACACATAAAAATGAATTAATTAATTAATTAATTTTTGAGACAGAGTCTCGCTCTGTTGCCCAGGCTGGAGTGAAGTGGCGTGATCTCAGCCCACTGCAACCTCTGCCCCCGCTGGGTTCAAGCGATTCTTGTGCCTCAGCCTCCTGAGTAGCTGGGATTACATGCACCCTCCACCACACCTGGCTAATTTTTGTATTTTTAGTAGGGATTGGAGTTCACCATGTTGGCCAGGCTGGTCTCGAACTCTTGACCTCAGGTGATCCACCCACCTTGGCCTCCCAAAATTCTAGGATTACAGGCATGAGCCACTGCGCCCAGCCATAATATTTAAATTAAATATTTCACAAGAGAAGGAAACTAAGGAAATGGAAGAAGAGACAATTTTATAGAACGGATTCTGTGTAGACTTTGCTATTTGAATTTGAAGTTATTATGACAAAGTTCTGCTCTGTGTTCTCAAATTCGAAGGTGTTTGGATGTCTGTAGTTAAAATCTGTAAACTGCCTGGCAGTCACTAACCACAGACATTTGTAAGTGCAGCTAAATTTTCTGTTTTTTGAGTTCTTATGGCGTGGAGAAAGACCGAATAGGTATACTTTATCCCACTCGTGCAGTTCCGCTATTCTTTCCATCTCTTCTTCTATATTTGCTCCCCTGCTCTCCCTTCCTTCTTCCTCCCTGCACCCTGCTCTTCCCCTCTCTTTACTTTTCTTCATTCCCTTCTCTTTTAAAAGAGAACTTCCAAGAAACAATATAATTGATGACTCCCCTTTAAGGTTCTTATAGAGAATCAGGTGAGTGCTAAAATAACCAGAAAACAAAGAAACTGATGGAGCAATGATAGTGGCAGACATCAGTTGAGCCCTTCCTGTATGCCAGCATCCCATAAAGCATGCTGTATATGCTTTCTTTCATTTAACCATGATAACAAGGTTCCCAGGTAGATGCTGTTATAACCCGTGTTTTACAGAGCCGGAGAAAGGTAATTCAGATCAAATAGCTAGACAGTGCTAGTGAAACTTGCCAAGTCTTTCTGACAACAGTTAACTAATAAGCTATGCTCCCCAAATAGTAAATTGCATGATTTTGAAGTTGCTAAAAATTCATTTCAAATAAATCATTCTGCCTAACGTAGAATGAAAGAACTGAAACAAAATGAAACAAATACATAGCAAACAAAACTTTATTTGTTCTGTAGTTACCTCTAAGGAAGGGCTATGCCACCATGTGTGTTCTCTCCCTGTGATAGAGTGTATTTAATTAAAGCATGAAATTAGATTGCTAATTTGAAAAGTCAGTGAAGACATTTTATTACACATTTAAGCAACTGTGGCATATATGTGTTTTTATGTGTGGAACACAGCTCTTTTAAATGGCTTGTAGCATTTTACTTTATTTCTTCTTCCTTAAGTCGTAGTGTCTTCACCGTTGATTTCTGGATCCTTAGACTGAGTGATTGTGATGTGAGTGGTGACCGTTTTCAGGCTGACTTGGTTGTTTTTTCCTTAGGGAGGTATTTTGAGGACAGTACTGAGTCACGTCCCCAAATACTACACACTTGCCTCCCACTGGGTTGACTCAGGCTGCTGTGTCTTTTCACATAGTAAATGGAGCACCGCGTCCAAAACCATCACTGGGACAACTATGAGCCGTGATCATGCCAGGAAGGAATTTACCATTCCTTGCCCCTGTGAAGTTTAGAAGATTTTACATGGGCCAAGAGGGAGAAGAAGCTTGATAGTTGAAAATATCTTTTTAAAAGTGAAATTACCTTCCTTACCTTTTTGTCAAAATTTAAAAATCGGCTCTTTGGGGAAAACCTTATAAATAGGTACATGAACAGCTTCCGGTTTTGAAGGATCATTATTGGCTTGCTTATCAAATATTTCTTCAAAGTCCTTCTAAGGCTATAGCGAAGTGAATCAGCATTGCTCCTGCTTTTGAAAATATCACAGCATACAATACACAGACATACAAACAAATGATTACAGTACCATGTGGTAAGTATTCATAACAGGGGTACCGTGGGCACAATGTGTGGGGAAGAGAAGGATTAGAGAAGGTGGTGCCAGGCCTTTCCCTGGTTACAATCAGGATGGAATATTGATGCGATAGATATTTGAAATGTGCATCCCAGAGTTAGTTAGGTTCTTGTTTGCAAGGAGGGATATACTTTCTCTTTGCTTTTCCTATATCAGCATGAATCTATTTCCAGTCTGTCCCTGTCTCTGGTAGTTGATCTCTATAGCCTCTACACATACTTAACATGGTTCACTGTTGTTGATCTCAGTTGGTGAATCTGTAATAGCATGGACCAAGGCTGTACTGGTAATAAACATGCCTTTTATATAATTAGTGTCTTTTGTGTGCAAGGCACTGTGCTGGACAGAGGAAATTAGGAAAATGGATGAAACACACCTTCTCCCTGTGAAAACTTGTAGTTCTGTGTAGTAGGGCAGATAAGATTATATCGTTAGAACATAGTCATGCATATAAATGCATTTTGTGAGAACGAGCTTTGTGAGATGAGAAAAGGGAACTATGTCTGTCAGTTGGATCAGTAGAGACTTCATAAAGGAGATGGTCTTTGAATTGGGCCTTAAGTGGTCATTCTCAGATGTGTGACTAGTAATTACTTGGAGAGGTTATTTAAAATGTCTGTTCATAGAGCATCAGAGTCTGGAGGTCTGGGATGGAGATCAAGATATGCATATTAAACAAATACCCTAGATAATTCTTACGAATGACTCACATTCAGACCATACTTTGAAAACCCTATCTATAGCATAGGTTGAATATTTTTCCCAATTTTTTTGGGATATAATTGAAGTGTAATGAACTGCAGATATTTAAAGTGTCCAGTTTGATCAGTTATTGACATACGTATACACCAGTGAAACCATCACCACAATCAAGATGATAAATGTTTTCATTCCCAACTGTTTCTCATGCCCTTTTTGTAATCTGTTCCTCCACCCATCCCTGTCTTCAGGCAACCACTGATCTACCTGCTGTCATTATAGATTAGTTTGGATTTTCTACTATTTTATATAAATGGAATTGTACAGTGTGTATTCATTATACCTGGCTTCTTTCACTCAGCATATAATGATTTTGAGATTTATCCATGTTGTGTGTACTGTGTATCAATTTATTCCTTTTTATTTGGAGTAGTGTTTTATTGTAAAATTCTTTGTGTGGACATATATTTCCATTCTCTAGAAGCAAAAAGCCTATGAGTGGAGTGTTCTATAAATGTCAGTTACATCAAGGTAATTGAATAGTGTTTAGCTCTTCTTTCTATGTTTACTGATTTTTTGGTCTTAGTACTCTATCAGTTGCTCAGAAAAGAGTAAGATTTTCTACTATGATTATGGACTTGGCTATTTTACCCTTTTATCTGTCAATTTTTCTTTATGTTTTTTTGAAGCCATATTATTAGGTGCATATATTTTCATAGTAGTTATGTTTTCACGAGGAATTGTTCCTTTTATCATTGTGAAATGTCTTTCTTTATCTCTGGTAATTTTCCTTGGACTCTGTTTCATTTATATTACAATATCCATTCCTGTCTTGTCTTCCTTCCTCCCCAGTTACCTTTATATTGTTATAGTTACATATATTACATCTACATACATTGAAAACCTCGTGATTCAATGTTACACTTTTCCTTTAAGGAGTCATATGCATTTTTTAAAAAATTAAGAGGAAAGTAGTTTTCTTTTATATTTACTTAGCTGTTTCCCATTTCTCTTGCTGTTCCTTTATTCCTGAAAATACATGTTTCCTTCTGGTTATTCTTTTTTCCTTCAATAAGAAAAACTTTCCTTAGCATTTTTTATAGACCACGTCAAGTGGTGATAATTTCTTAGCGTTATTTTATGTGAGAATGTTTTTATTTCCCCTTTAGTTTGAAGGATGTTTTTATTGAATATAGAATTCCGGATTGATGGATTTTTATTTTTTTTCTCAGCAACTTAAAGATGTTGATCCATTGTCTTCTGCCTCTATAGTTCTAAAGAGACATCCATAATCTTTTCAGTCATTCTTCACTTGTAAATACTAGTATCTTTCCTTTTTTTTTAAAAAAATTATTAACTATAATTTTTTACTGTGCTGTCTTTAGTTACTTTCAAGGCTTCTACCCACCCCCCGCCCCCCCCCCCATTTTTGTTTTTCAGCCATGTGATTTTGATATGTCTAGGTATGGTTTTCTTTTATCTCACACTTATGATAGATCTTTTGATTTTGTCCCAGGAGACCCTGAGACTCTGCTTACTTTTTTTTTTTTAATCTTTGTCTTTCTGTTTTTCAGATTGGATAATTTCCACAGATCCATCTTCATGTTAATTGATTTTGTTCTCTGTCATCTCCATTCTGCTGCCTTGATCACCAAATATATTTTTATTTCAGTGCTTTTTTTTTGTTTTAAAATTTGCATTTGGTTTTGTTTTATAGTTCCTATTTTTCTTCTGAGAATTCCTGTATTTTCATTTCTATCAAGTTTGTTTTTCTTTACCTCATAGAGCAAAGTGACAGTGGTTGCTTTAAATACATGTTGAATATCCATTATCCAAAATGCTTGGAATGAGAAGTGTTTCAGATTTTTGGATTTTGGAATATTTGCATTATACTTACTGTTTCAGCATCCCTAACTCAAAAATCCCAAATTCAAAATGCTCCAATGTGCATCTCTTAATGGGCATCATGTCCATGCTCAAAAAGTTTCATATTTTGGAGCATTTTGGATTTTGGATTTTTGGATTAGGGATACTGAACCTGCATCTGATAGTTCCAATGTCTGGATCGTCCTGTGATTGACTTTTGTTAAGAATTGGTGATATTTTCCTGGTTGTTTGTAAACAAATTTTGGATTGTATATTGCACTTTCTGAATGGCATCCTGTCATCTGTGGTGACTGTTGCTGTTTTAGTAGGGTGATCAACCTGGTGAGCTCTAGGCTTTGAGTGGGACCTGCTTCCTAGGGGCAGCGATTCAGTTCTCAGTGTAAGTCTTTGTTGTGCTTATTTTTGTCCATCCTGTACTTAAGGGGTTAGTCTGCAACTTGTGTGAGTGGTTCAGATCTCAGTTCAGTTTTCTCAGCCTTTTCTGTGCTGGTTGGAGTCTGTGCTGTGCGTGTGTCACTCCAGTGTCAGGCTGATATCTGTGCAGGTTTCCACATAGAATTCGGGCATCCTTTCCTGGGCTTTCTCTACCCCAAGATCATACCCTCAGACTCCTCAACTCGCAGAATCCCTTTATCTGCAGACACACAGACAGGCTTCTCTTTGAGTTTAGTTGCCTGTGTTGTTTTGCAGCTATGCAACTGGGGCTCACCTTTGGGGCAAAATCATGTGAGAAGAAAACAAAGCAGGAACTTCACCCTGTGTGGGTTGCCTTTCCAAGTGTTGACTCTCCTGTATAATTTTTCTGTTTT
The DNA here is from genome assembly GCF_000001405.40 of Homo sapiens. Taxonomy (NCBI): domain Eukaryota; kingdom Metazoa; phylum Chordata; class Mammalia; order Primates; family Hominidae; genus Homo; species Homo sapiens. The sequence goes on from NC_000006.12 coordinate 5,439,529, forward strand.
TTTACTTTTCAGAGTCCTCTGTTAGTTGTTTAGAGATTTTGGTCGTAATCAGAGAGAGGGATAGACTGGTGGGCTCATGCCCCCATAGTGGACCTGAACTGTAGTTTGGGTTGTGAATGCACTCCAGGTGAAAGGATAATTGCGTGACACACATATGTGGTACTGGAAACGTGGTGGTATTGGCTCCACTTGTCTATTTACTCTGTCAACTTTATTAATCAGAATTAAGCCTGGTACATTTTTGAGGCCAGTTAGTTGAGATTGTCTAAGATCTGTGAAACTCTGGCTCGCTTCCTTCCTCCTGCCCTCCCTTCCTTCTCCGTTCCTTTCTTTCACCTTCTTAACTTTCCTCTCTTCCTTTAAGTCAGTCTTGCCCCTTTTAGTGCCCATTCAGAAAAGCAAACAAATACACGTCAGCCTTATGTGTAGGTTTTGCCTCAAGTTCCTCCTAGTGACATATTTTCAAGCTGCCAGAATGGAGATGTCTGTTCAAATATTTACTTAGCCTTTTTCCCTTTTCAAAACAGCTAAGATGGTGAGACTTTTTTTCTGATATAAAAGCAATCTGTAATCATTGAAAAATTAAGAAAATAAAATATAAAAATGAAAATGAAAGTAATTCCATGATCCTACATAAAATAGATTCTTTATAAAATTTAATTCCTATATAAAACTGTAAATCTTTATGCATATTTATAATTGTCAGATATACCTACATATAGAAGTTATATATATATTTTATAAAAAGTAGAATCATACTTTGAATATTTTTTGTATTAATTTTTTCTGCAAGAAATGTGACACAAGTGTCCTTTGATGTTACCAAATATTTATCTACATCATCATTGTCAGTGGCTGCACAGCCACTGTGGATGGATCTTTCTGGCCACCCCCATGTTGATGGGTTGTTGACAATAACATTTTTATCCATGTGTCCTGTGCACTTGTCTTAATATTTTCCTGGGATAAGTTTATAAAAGTGGAATTACTGGTTTTTTCCTCCCTAGGTTTATGATGCATATTCATAGGCACACTGGAAAAAAAGTACCTGCAGTATTTGAAAGAGTTGATTTTTCCACACCCTTACCAATATTGAACATTATCAATCTCTTTACTCTTTACATTTAACAGGAAAAAAATGTATACTGGTGTTTTGTTGTTATTGTTTTTTAGAAGTGGAGGGGGGGTGTCTCACTGTGTTGCCCAGGCTGGACTTGAGCTCCTGGCCTCGAGTGATCCTCCCACCTCAACCTCCCAAGTAGCTGGGAGTACAGGCATGTGCCACAGTATCCAGTTTATACTGGTGGTGTTTTAATTCCCTTTCTTTTTTTCTGGTCACTAGTGTCACTGAACATGTTCCCAGAAGCTGTTGGCTCAGTCCATTTTCTTTCTTTTTTTTTTTTTCTTTTTTGAGACAGAGTCTCTCTCTGTTGCCCAGGCTGGAGTGCAGTGGCACAATCTTGGCTCCTTGCAACCTGCATCTCCCGGCTTCAGGTGATTCTCCTGCCTCAGCCTTCTGAGTAGCTGGGACTACAGGTGTGCGCCACCACAACCGGCTAATTTTTGTATTTTTAGTAGAGACCGGATTTCACCATTTTGGCCAGGCTGGTCTCGAACTCCTGACCTCAAGTGATCTGCCTGCCTTGGCCTCCCAAAGTGTTGGGATTACAGGCATGAGCCACTGCGCCCAGCCACTCAGTCCATTTTCTAATGAGACTAGAAAGGATGCTAGAATATATTCTGCAAGTTTTTCTTTTTATTCTTTCACTCCAAATGATAACCTTATTCTCATCTTTGTTGAAGTCCTCTGTGTATCCCTCCCTGTCAGTTTCTTCACTCCTTCCCTCTCTCCCTCCCTTCTATAAGCAATCACATTCTGAATTTTGTATTATTACCTTGATTTTCATTAGAGTTTTACTATTTATATTGTAAAACAAGTTGACTTTCATGTGCTTTTATGTTTTAACAAATGAAATCACAGTATAGCTCCTTTCATGACTTTAGGTTTTCATGCATTAGTGTGAAGTTCATCTGTGTTGTCATAAGTAGAGTTTTAGTTCTTTTGTTTTTTGCAGCTTATATTCTACTGGATGAATGTTCCATAGTTCATTCATCCATTCTTTAATGAATATTTGCTTGGTTACGATTTTCTTTTTGCTATTACAAATGCTACTGCTGAACATTCTTGCACCTCTGAATGTATAGGTGTAAGAGTCTCACTGAGCTATGTTTTACCTAGCGGTAGAATTGCTAAAAGTCAGCACTTACGAGCATCTTTGGGTATCATCAAATTGTTTCCCAAAGTGGTTGGCCCAATTTATATTGTCTTGAGCCTTTCTAAAGTTCCCTGGTGTTTTACATCCTCTTTAACACTTGACGTTGTTCAACTTATTTTGGCAGTCTGATACGTTTAAAATAGTATCTCTAGCTGAGCTTGGTGGTGCACCTGTAGTCCTAGCCTAGAGGCTGAAGTGGGAGGATCACTTGAGCCCAGGAGATCAGGGCTGCACTGAGCCATAGAGTAGCCGCCACTCCACTCCAGCCTGGGTGGTAGAGTGAGACCCTCTCTCAAAAATTAAATAAATAAATAATAAATTAAATCAAATGGTATATTGTGGTTTTTATTTGAATTTACCTGGTTATTACTGTTAAGTTTGAACACAATTTTATATATTTATTTAACATTTATTGTTTTTCTTTTGTTCATTTTTGGGTGAGGCTCATTTCTGTCTTCTAAAACTGGCAGGAATTCTACATTTATATCGGTTACTAATCATTTGTCATTTCTATGTATTGCAATTATATTCTTCAGGTTTGTGGCTTTTCTTTTTCTGTTCTTTTTTTAAGTTGCTCTTTCATAAATGGAATGTGTATATATATATATATACACACACACACACATTTCTTTTTTTTGAGTAGCTTTAGGTTTCTTTATATAACATCATTCTCCAAAAAAGTCACTTCACCGGGGATTGTGTGTGGGTGTAAGTTGGCAAGTTTCATGAAGATAACCCTTTTGCTTGTCATGCTTGATTCTGTAGTTTAAGTCTCTCATGTTACTGCCTTATCATTCATATTTTCAGCATTGGGATTCTAAATATTTAATGACTTTCAAGCATTTACCCTCTCTTTCCTAGTGTTCTGTCAGATTTAGTCCCACCCTCGGTGACAGTTTCCCTTGGCTGGGAAGTCGTACTCTAGGATGTGCTTCTTTGACTAGGAAATGTAGCTCAGAGCTTGCCTGGGAGCCCCAGTGATGCCCTTTTCACTGAATTGGATTTATGTCCTCCTATGTTTTTTAGTTTTCCCTAATCCTGCTTCTCATCCACACCAGGCCTCTGGTATTTCCATTACTGTAATAAAAATAAAGGCTTTGGCAACTTCTCTCAAGCTGTGGTATCTGTCTACATTTCTGATGTTTTTGCAACTGTTGTGTTAGGTGTTGTGTACTGTCTGTGGCATGATTTCTAGATATAAGAAACATCTGGAAAGCCGAGATTCTGTCCTGTATGTTCATTTCAATGTCTAAGGTCTTGTATGCTTGCCAGATATATAAAGCACTTTCCATTTAACTTTCCAGTTTCCCCCCATCAATGTGGACTTAATTTTCCATTTTAAACTGTTATCCTTTTTCCTGTTGTCTTCTCCCATTCATGAAACAGTAACGCCAAAAACACAGTCTAACCATTAGCTTTTTACATGTAGAAGCTGTTGGCACAGTTTGTGAGTGAGCAAATAAAAGGTGTGGATGGAAAAGAAATGGAATTTGGCAAAGTTGGTATTGATGCAAGTGGTTCCTTCTTTTATCAGACTGTAGTATTGTTCCAAGTTCTTCACCCCTCCCTGTATCTGTGCACTTGGTTCCCTGACTTTGAAGCACTGTCTGCTATGAGAAGAATATACTTCTCTGCCCTGTTGATTTGGAGCTTGCCCCTGTAACTGCTTTGGCTAAAGGGAAATTAGCAGATGTGACAGGAAAAGAGGCTTGAAATGTACTTGGCAGTTGTTTTTTTGCCCTTTTTAGCTTCTGCCATTATGAGGTGAACATGCCCTGTGTAGCTTGCTGGTTCCAGAACAGTAAGAAGCATGTGGAGTGGACCCGAACCAACCTCAGGGCCTGGAGCCCAGCCAGTCTGGACCAGCTGAGCCCCAGCCCCGCAGACAGGTGGTGGTTGTTGCATGCCACTGAGATTTTGTAGTGATTTGTTGATCAGCTGTAGCTGGCTGATAAAACATACATTGTAGTTGTCATATTCTTTTTCAGCTTACCGAGGGCTCATAGAATGCTTAAGAGTCTCTCTTCCAAAATCATTTCACAGAAAATTCAGCTCATTTATTTCTCTCAAGTATTTCCTCTTCACCTCCCTTTCTAACTTAGCAGGAAGGATATTTGGAAAGAACTTGACTTTTTTACTTCCCTCCCTCTGCAGAGAAGCCACTGAAATAGTTTCTCAGTATTTTAGTGGGCTGTGGTGGTGGTTCTGAAAACCAGACAGGGATTGGTGGTGGGAATGTCCTCTACATGGGAGGTTTTTGAAAAGCCACTGATATATGGAAGATCCTCGTGTGTGTGTGTGTGTGTGTGTGTGTGTGTGTGTATGTGTGCATGCACGCACGTGCATATGTTCGCAATATAATCTTTTTAAAATTTTAGCGCAGGCTGGGTGCAATGGCTCAAGCCTGTAATCCGAGCACTTTGGGAGGCCAATGTGGGCGGATCACAAGGTCAGGAGTTCGCGACCAGCCTGACCAACATGGTGAAGCCCCGTCTCTACTAAAAATACAAAAATTAGCTGGGCATGGTGTCAGGTGCCTGTAATCCCAGCTACTTGGGAGGCTGAGGCAGGAGAATCGCTTGAATCCGGGAGGCAGAGGTTGCAGTGAGCCGAGATTGCGCCATTGCACTCCAGCCTGGGTGACAAGGCGTGACTCTGTCTCAAAAAAAAAAAAAAAAAAAAAAAAAAAGAGAGAGAGAGAGAGAGAGAGGAAAAAATCTTAGTGCCAGGTGTCTGAATTTAATTAGTCTCAGGTCGAAGACTCTGGAATCAGTGGAATGTAAGCTTCATTAGGGCAGGGAATTTTTTTGGTTTTGATCACTATGGTATTCCCAGTTCCTAGAACAATGCCTAGCACATAGAAGACACTCAATATCCATATATAAATTAGATGGATGGCTGTGTGGGTGGGTGGACCCCCCACTCCTCATCCCAATGTTCGTTATTCTTTCTTCAGGCTCATGGAAACAGTAAAATGGGGCGGGGGGGAACTGACCTAATTTTTGAAGCTTGCTCGTGGCTCTTTCTGCCCTCAGCTGCTCAGTACAATTCCCAGTTTCCAAGGATGGGCAGTGGGAAGCACATTGGCCTCAGAGTGAAGACCTGGCTCCAGTCAGGCCTGGCCACCAGCTGGGCTGGAGATCTTGGGCAAGTCCTGTGGGTCTCAGTTTCTTCATCTGTAAGATGAGGGGCCTAAATTATATAATTTTCAGATTTCATTTTAACTCTCAAATCTTCAACAGCCTAGAGTTTCTTAATAAAACCCATAGAGGATTGTGTTTTGTTGTATAGCACCACATAGAAAATTGCCTAGCAGCAGGACTTGGGTGTATATGGTTGGTTAATCAGGGTTTTTCTTCCTCTTAAAGAAATTCTTAGAGACCTTTAAAAAAAAAGAGAGAAAAAGAGGATGCTCATATAATTGGATTTTATTTAAACTATTTATGAAACTCTTGCTTCATGGGATCACTGCAGCTTTGCAGGCAGGTAGTGATGTGCTCTCAGTGGCTCAGTTTTATTTTCTCCCCTGCAAAAAGGCAATTTAGAAGTTTAGGAATTATTTATGGTACTGTGGGGATAAACACAATCTGCTAAGTTATTTTTCTTATATCATTTTTTTTCAAGGTTCATTCCTGTATTTTAGGCTGGAAGCAATGTCTTCATGAAATGGCCATGTTGTTATGTCCGTGAACAAAATGAGGCAATGTCATCACTAGGCAAAATTTATGCCAGGTTTTAAAATTGTGATTCTTAATTGGTATAATTCAAGAATTGGATATTACTGGGTGATTCTCAGAAATAAAGACTTGATAGTCACCTAAGTATGGCAAATGATGGTCTGAAAAAGTTTGAGTTTTCTTTACTGGAGAGTGTCTCCAAGCTCGGAAGAAGTAGCTCTGTTTGAGGGAGGGAGTGTGCCGTATTTTCCAGACTTCTTTGACCAGAGAATCCCTTCATGAAAAGATTTCTTCTATGGATCCTGTCCCAAGAAGGACACATGGGGACATGCCCATCCATTGGCTGCTGGGATTGACAGTAACCTAGGAGGCTGAAGGAAGTGTTTTCTGGGGAAGCAGGGACAAACTACAGTAAGATACTCTTTAAAAATTTTGTGGCCAGGTGCGGTGGCTCACGCCTGTAATCCCAGCACTTGGGGAGGCCGAGGCAGGCAGATCACGAGGTCAGGAGATCAAGACCATCCTGGCTAACATGGTGAAACCCCGTCTCTACTAAAAGAAATACAAAAAAATTAGCCGGGCGTGGGGGCGGGCACCTGTAGTCCCAGCTACTCAGGAGGCTGAGGCAGGAGAATGCCGTGAATCTGGGAGATGGAGCTTGCAGTGAGCTGAGATCGTGCCACTGCACTCCAGCCTGGGCGACAGAGTGAGACTCCATCTTAAAAAAAAAAAAAAAGAAAATTTTTTTTACCTCGAGGCATGCCTTCAATACAAAGGGAAGTAGCTGATACTAACATAAGTAATTCAGAACATCCATTTATCATTTTAGATTATTTGTCTGTGGAGCCCTGGAAACCAAGGGTTTGTGGGCTTCAAAGGCATTAGGAAGAAAAAAAGCTCTCAAAATCCATTATATGTATTTGATACTCCATTTAGTAGAATCAGCCTTCCCTCTTTTCTTCCATCCCTGAAGCAAACTTTTAAGTATCTGTGTGGTAGGAACCATACCCACATCATATGGATGTAGAGAGGTGGTTTCTGCCTTTGGGGGACTTCCAGTCCAGTGGTAGAGGCTGATGGGTAAACTGCTCTGTCCAAGGTGCTATGGTAACAGTTGAAGGAGGAAATAGTTCCCTGAGAGCTTGTGCAAAGCTTCATACTTGGATGTGATGCTTGAGCTGACAGATGAAGTCTGAGTAGTTTAGACGACAGGGGCTGAGGGAAGAGGAGGTTTTTAAAGTACATTTTATTGTGTATATTTAAGGTATACAACATGATGTTATAAGATATATATATATAGTAATATGGTTACTCTAGGGGAATGAATTAACACAGCCATCATCTCACTTAGTCACCCATTTCCCCCGCTGTGTCATGACCAGCTGTTGGCTACTCATCTGCTGGTGCAGAGACACAGGGAGGGAGAGGCGGCACTGTGTGTTTGGGAAGACTGACGCATGGATGTCTGGATTACACCATGAAACATGTTACTTAGGTGGAGGAGGTTGGAACCTAGATAGGGTCAGTTCCGGAAGGGCTACGAATGCAAAATCGAAGACCTTACATCTCATCCTTCTGGTAGTAGTGAGGCATTGAAATATTTAAAGTAGGAAAATAATGTGACCAGATTGATATTTGGGTATCTGGCATTACTGTGGAGTGTGAGTGGAAGAAATGCAAGTTCAAAGACAAGGAGAACAGGCGAATTGTCTAGGCGCTAAATGATGAGGGCAGGAGCTGAAGCAGCAGTAGCAGTGGGCAGAGAGGGGGCCAGATTGTGTGCCTTTTAAGAGTTATCACCAGGCTTTGTGTGCAAGGGGACCACCTTCTTGGCATGAGGAAAAGGTCATGGATTGAAGGAGCAGATTAGTTCTGATTGCAGCTTTCCTAAGCATAATTGACACACAGAACCTTTGAGCAATACTCTGCCACTGATACCCTCCAAAGAATTGTAGGTGAATTCCACAGCATGCTTTTTACCCCCATTCTCTACCTTAAGCTGCCTAAATCATAATCACTAGTATAACCTCTTCCTCATGGTGGAGACATTTTTAAAGAACATTATCCAGGGAAGTGGAAACTGTTAGGTGAAGGCTTTTGTTACCTAAGAAGGCAAAATGTACAAATGCTACTCATCATCCCTACCTTATCCTCAATAAATGTTTATTGTGTTTTTGACCCACATTTGGTTGAAAACAGTCCATGTAGAAGTGAACCTGTGTAGTTTATTGAGGATAAAACAATAAATGTTTACTGAGGATAAGGTAGGGAGGCTGAGTAGCATTTGTAAGAAAGGTAGATGCTTGGCAAGTGAAGATGAACAAGGCACAACTGCCCTTAAGGATTGAATGGTTTGATGAGGGATGCAGTCTCACAAATAGCCCCATAAGCAGATATGGTATCAGGCTTGGAGGCAAGTGGCCTGCAGAATCAGGGAGGTTATCCCAGAAGAATTACCTTGAAGAGTGTTCTTTTACCTTCGTCTTGAAGAATGCATAGGCCTTTGCCAGCACAATAGGAAGGCAGGGCCTTCTAGGCAGATGGGATAGCACATTCAAAGATACAGAGTTTCGAAAGATCCAGAATGTTTATTTGAGGACAAAGAATCGCAGTGTGGTTGGGGTAGCCTAGGGGACAGTGAGAGTGCTGGTGGGAGGTAGATCCAGAGAATCCTGGCATGTGAGGCTTTATACACAAAGCTAAAGGAGTGTGGACTCTGTGCTGTTGTTATTGCAGCCAGTAGAGACGTATTTGGGAAGGGAAGGCGATGAGAAAGTGGAAGAAGGGAGTCCGCCTCTTCATGTATTGTATACAATTATTTTATAGGTCATGCATTTATTTGGGGTGTGAGTGTGCCTGTGAGTGTGTACACTCTCCCTCCCACTGCTTTCATGTCTGTTTTTCTGTATCCTTTAAGTTTTTTAATGCAAATACAAATATGTATTCTTTTTCTTTCTTCTTAAAAACCAAAGCAGCACACATTTTTTCTGTTTTTTTTTTTTCACTTACAGTGTATTTTAGAGATGTTTGCACGTTAGAAAGCATTCCCATTTCTATTCACAGCTGCATGGTATTGCATTGTGTGTATGAACCATAATGTATTTAATCAGTGCTCCCTTGATGGGCATTTTGTGTGTTTCCCTCTTTTGCTATTAAAAACAATGTTTCAGTGAATAACTATGTACATGTGTCACATTTTGCGTGCAAGTACATTTATAGGATTTATTTCTTGAAGTGGAATTGCTAAATCACACAGTATATGCATTTATAATTCTTATAGACATCATGCCTATTAAGTAGACCTGGGGTGAAGCAGTCATATCTGATATGTGGATTGAATGAGGGTAAGCAGTGAGCAAAATGGAGGATGGTGCTAAGTTAGCCTTGGTGACTCATGATGCCATTTCACAAGATGGAGACAGAGAAGCTATGTAGGTTGCACCCAAGCTTTTGAACTCTTAAGTCTGAAGTGTCTATAAGACATCTAGGTAGGAACATCTAGGAGATAGTTGCACGTGAAAGATCGGAGAGCGTAAGAGAGCTCTGTAAGAGATTTTGAATTCATCAGTGAAGTTAAAAGTCACTGGCCGGGTGCCGTGGCTCACGCCTGTAATCCTAGCATTTTGGGAGGCCGAGGCGGGCAGATCACTTGAGGTCAGGAGTTCCAGACCAACCTGGCCAACATGGTGAAACCCCATCTTTACTACAAATGCAAAAATTAGCTGGGTGTGTTGGTGGGCACCTGTAATACCAGCTACTCGGGAGGCTGAGGCAGGAGAATCGCTTGAACCTGGGAGGCAGAGGTTGCAGTGAGCCAAGACTTTGCCACTGCACTCCAGCCTGGCTGACAGAGTGAGTAAGACTCCATCTCAAAAAAAAAAAAAAGAAAAAAAAGAAAAAGAAAACTCATAGACTTAAGATTTTTTATATATGTGTATATATGAAAATTATTATAAAGAAAGAAGAGAAAGGCCAAAAAGTATAAGGTTTCAGAAAAATAAATATTCTCCTGGGTTCCTTTATCTATTAAATTTACTAGAATTCATTGGCATAAGGCAAAAGTTCTCATGTGGTTCAGGTCTTTATTTGACTTATTCATTCATTGTTCATGCATTCATTCATTTCAATATTTGCTGAATACCTGGTAGTACAGATTGCATATCTCTTATGTTAAATGCTTGGGACAAGAAATGTTTTAGGTTTTGGATTTTGTGTGTGTGTGTTTTGGAATATTTGCATTATACTTACTGATTTAGCATTCGTAATCCGAAAACTCGAAATCAGAAATGTTCCAATGAGCATTTCCTTTGAGCATCATGTGGGCCCTCAAAAAGTTTTGGATTTTGGAGCATTTAAGATTTCAGGTTTTTCAGATTTGAGATACTCAAGCTGTACCAATTAATGACGAAAATATGGTCATCCCTTGGTATACATGTGGGATTGATTCCAGGACTCCTGAGTATACCAAAATCTGCACATACTCAAGTCCTGCACTTCCCTGAGGAACCTGTGTGTATGAAAAGTTGGCCCTCTGTATACATGGGTTTTGCATCCTGCAAATACTGTATTTTTGACCCACAGTTGGTTAAAAACAATCCGTGTAGAAGTGAACCTGTGTAGTTCCAATCTTTGTTGTTCAAGGGTCAACTGTATGAGGCTACAGATGGCCCCTGCCCTCCTGCAGCTCACAGTCAGGTGGGAAATATGGTGAGGTAAATGTGTAATGTCAGTGTGTGCTGACACCTGCTGTGAGGAGAGCAGTACATTGCACTGTGGGAAGAGTAGGAGGTGGCATCTAGTGTGACTTGGGGAAGCTTTCAGAAAGGCCTCCTACTCTGAGATGTGAGGAATGAGTAAGGGTTGGTGGTAACAGGGAGTGGGGGAGGGGAAGCGTGATGTGGGCTGCAGGGGCAAACTAGTTTGGTAAGGGGCCAAGTGGTAGGCATTTGGGTTTGGGGCGGCCTTGGTCTCCTGCTCCAGCTCCCCCATGCCGTTGTAGTGTGAAGGTCGCGGTGGCCATCGGTGAAGTGTGGCCGGGTTCCAATAACTCCTTATTTACGGATACAGAAAATTTCCCCTGATTTCCATGCATCATGAATAGTATTCTTCTTTTGATGTTTTTCAACCATTTAAAAAGGTAAAATTCATTCCTAGCTTGTAGGCCTTACAAAAACCAGAGGGTTAGGGATCCAGACTTGGCGTGTGGGAGGTAGTGTGCCGCCTGTTAGTCCAGGCACAAGGGACAGCCTGTTCAAAGGTTGAGGCGGGAGAAGCACACAGGGGCTTCTCTGAGAACCTCTTCTTAGGGGTCTCCTTGCCTCCAGGGTTTCCCTCCTCCAGTCTGCCCTGCTTGGAATCCCTGGATACATGCCTTGGGCTGTCTCTTTCATTATTGCCGTGCCTCTCTGGAAAATCTTCCGTGATTCTCCATGAAGGTATTCAGGGTCCTCCCCTCATCTTCTGCTTTGTTTGCCTCAGCCTCCTTTCATGAAGATTTGGGAAAAATCCTGCTCCACTGACAGGAATCTAGTATTTTAGATACGATTGGAGGTGCTGTAAACACTTCAGGGTTTTCTAGGCCACTGCTCATTCCTATGTATGCACACATAGTTTGCTTTCATTCTGAACTTTTTGTATATTTCCTGGAAAAGTTACTTTGGGATTAATTTACATATAAAAGTCCTATATTTTCATCTTATTTTTATCCTGCCACTTCAGGTATAGGGAAATAAATGAAAAAGTCTTCAAATGTTGACTTCTAAGGCTTTATTACCTCAGACAGCTTCATTAGGTTTGTGGAAATCTAGTGTGCTTTGAAGGAATTAATCTAGCCTTACTTGCAATCTGTATGTGTTTACATAGAATGAACAAACATTGCATTACGTTTCATGAAAATTCAATTATTCTTGTCTCCAGGAAACATGTTCTGCTTAGTATTTAATTCTCAAGTATGTCAAGGTGATGGTTCTTGAACTGTCGTAAGAATTGGGGAGCTGGGGCTCACTGCTCATTTCCATAATCAATGGAGAAATAGCCAGTGGAGACTTTTTAATCACTAAGGTCCTCATGTAACCCATGTCTGAGGTTACAGGGGACATTGGGGACATCAGTCTCAGTGGCATAAGGCTAATATAAAATCCTCTCTAGATTTTTGTTAGAATGAAGAGAAGTAACATTAAGGATGATACTCTACATAATTAATACTTTCTTTTGGAGTTTATTATGCATATGTATGGTTTATTCAGCAGGCATTTTTTGAGATTCTATTGTTAACGAGGTACAGCAAGAGATGGAAAGGTAACAATCAGCTGGTATTAGTGTCTGTTGTGATTGGTTGGACCCTATTTAACTGGCAAGGATCAGTTTAAATGCTTTTATTCTTGAAACATTCCTTGCAAAGTCCGACAACTCATTTCCCACTGTATTGTTACTACAGTGAAGTGATTTTTTGGAAACACCTATCACATATCATCACCATGTCTTTTATAGTTACACGATAGTTAACTAAACTTATCCTTTTCTTCCACAAGAGTCTAACCTCCTTGAAGGTAGGACCATGCTTAATTCCTACTGGTTAGTGGCTGCAGTATTATACTGAAGAAACGGTAAGTCCGGTTTCAGCAGGCCGAGATGTGGAGGAGACGGTTTGGGGTCCAGAGTGGCCTAAGGGAATTATTTGAATCAGGCCAAGAGCATGAGTTTACTTCGAGTCTTTGAGGAGTGAGGTGTAGATGGGTGTAGCACAGTACTAGGAGTTGAGAATGGATCAGAAATGTAGCTTGGGGGCTACACCAGGACGCACAGAGGCCATACTTAAGGGTTTGGAATGGGGCACCATTGAAAGTTTCTAAACAGAAATCACGTGGTGAGGTCCACATGGCCTTTTGGGGCCTTCCTGCCCTGGCCTTTGCCTGCCTCCTCGCTTTCTCTCCCACTCTTGCCCGTGGGTACTCCATGCTCCAAGGAACTGTTGAATGTGCCATGCACACTCTGTTCAGCATTTCCCAAAGGGACCCTGGGCAGTCCTCATGCTCATTTTTCAAACCATGCCATGGTTTGCACTGTTCACTAGCTGTTTGAGGGAAGAGGTCGGGTCTGTTTATTTCTTTGCCACCAGGGCTTCACGCACACCTAACCTTTAGTGGGTACTTAGTAGATATTTATTGAATGTTTGGATGGGTGAATGCATTTTGGCACAAAACCTTCACTTCTGGACTGGAAGATAGATTGGATGGAGCAGAGACGGGAGGCAGTGAGACCAAGTGGAGCATCATACCTGGAAGAGAAACATTGAGCCTGTGAATTACAGCTATAGCAGTAGAAATTCAAGGGGGGAAATAGATTCTGGAGACCTGGGCAAGTAGAACTGACGGGACCCAGAGATCAGCGGATAAAATGGATGCTGTGAAGGGCTAAGGGAAGTGGAAAGGTTGAAGACAGGCACCTGAAGCCCACCTAATCATATCACTAGATGTTTTGCAGGGTGTGCGGTGGGCAAAAGTAGGGGTACGGGATGGGAGTGGAAACCGTTCTGTGTAGGTCCGTTTGAGAATCAGCTTAACTGAGGATTAATTGCCTTGGTTTGGAAAACTCCACTACTGAAGTTTGCACAACATAGTAAATTGTGGAGGACTAAAGCATCCTTCGCTTAACTATTCAATTTATTTACAAATTTAACTGCAACATCGTTCTGTAAAGGATATGAGATAGTGACATCTGTAGATACAGATATATCTGGAGAAAACAAAAACCAAGGGGCAAAAGGTAAAGGGAAAATAAGAATATGAAAATAACAAAGCTAGGGTAAGTTTGCACGAAGAAATATACATTTCTCTCAGTTGCCACAAAAAAGCATAGATTTGGATTTCAGCTGCCTAGTGGTAAAAGGAAGGAGGGAAACATAATTAATTAATACTATCTACAGTGTCTGCAAGATAAAAACGTGCTCATCCTTTTTCAGAGAAAGCACAATATTCTTGACCGAGAAAACTGAGAAAAAATTTCCCCTCATCTATGAGGCGGAATGTGTTCCAAACAGTTGAATTTCAAAATGAGCTTTCTGACATTCCTTAGTCTCTTCTTACTAGTATAATAGGATTTGATTTGCTCTGTTTAACATATGATGAAGTTAATTGTGAAAGATCTCTAGAATCCAAATCTGCAAATTATTTCCAAAACCCTGTTTTTTATCTTTTACACCAGTCGTTCTACTGGTGAGTCAATACTTGCAGCTCCTGTGTGTGTGGCAGGTTGCCAGGTGCCCCAGATGGTACCAAGGTATGTAGGAATTTTTGAAGGAGCTCACAGTGCCAGTGGGTAGTCTAGGCATAAACACATGGAAAGTATGTTAAATGCAGGAGTTGAATAATGAGGAACCGTACGGGAGAGCCCACGAAGCCGTGCCTGATTTACTGCTGTGCACCTGCTTAGACATCAGGTGGGGTCTGTGAATTCAAAAGATGACAAGACCAGTGTGGGCTGGAGGAGCCGAGGGAGGTTTAACAAGGAGGGATGCTTTTACTTTTAATAATAGCATCAATATTATTATTATTATTGTTTAGCTTATACACTAAATTAAAAAATTGATTATTTTGACAAATCTTGAATTTTAGTACAATCTTTAGAAACATCATGTCCCTGGTTTGTTTGTTTTTTTCAAAGCAGTATGCCTAGTACTTTTATCAGTGCCATTTGGGGTTACTAAGTTCTCCCTCCATTTTTTTTTTTTTAGACCCATGGACATGCCTTTCTGCTGTCACTTGTGAATGCTGTCAAATAATCCTTACATCCTAATTTACATTTGCTTATTTCAAACTGTTTGTACTGTTCTGAAAATATCAACACTTGTTTTTTTAAAATTTATTTATTTATTTATTTAGAGATGGAGTCTCACTCTGTCGCCCAGGCTGGAGTGCAGTGGCGTGATCTCGGCTCACTGCAACCTCCACCTCCCAGGTTCAAGCGATTCTCCTGCCTCAGCCTCCCCCCGAGTAGCTGGGATTACAGGTGCATGCTACCATGCCCGGCTAATTTTTTGTATTTTTAGTAGATATGGGGTTTCACCGTGTTAGCCAGGATGGTCTCAATCTCCTGACCTTGTGACCCACCCACCTCAGCCTCTCAAAGTGCTGGGATTGCAGGCGTGAGCCACTGAGCCTGGCCTTGTTTTTTAAGGAATAATCTTTTAACAGTTAACTCTCGGTCCCGATAATCTCCGTATAATCTTTGGATTCTCATTGCTCTGAGGGTAAAGGTCCAAATCTGTAGTGAATGTGTCCTCCAAGGCAATGCCTACTCTGCTTTGCTCTGACCAGCTCTCTGGCCATGCGGACCCGCCTTCACCGTCATTCCAGCTGAGCAAGCCTTTCGGTTCTCCCTTCCTTTGCTGGGACTGCCTGGGCACATCTGATGACCCTGTGACCCACTCCAGTAGCACCTGCATGTCTTGTTCACAGCAGGCATCACCACTGTAGTAAACCAATTGTGATTATGTCTTTATTTAATGTCATTGATTCTAGCTTCCCCTTCCCAAGACTGCAAGTGCCCTGAGGACAAGGACCTTGTTGGTCATAGACTGCTGACCCACCAGCATCTAGCACGATACCTGGCACAGAGCGGGTGGTCACGTGTACTTGTTTTTGATGTCATTGTGAGGAGATTTCCTTTTCCGGTTTTCATTCAAAACCGTCTTGGTTATTGCTTATTTGTTTCTTACCCTGCAGATGGTTACCAAGCAGCTTTTTGATTTTTAAATCTTTGCAGAAGATTCCAAAAAGCCCCTCCAAAGATGACACAAGCCTCTATTTTATTGCCTTTCAAAATATATACACTTTTATTGCCAAGGGAAAATTTTTGAAGCTTGGGTATGTGTTAGTCTCCAGGGAAGCAGCAGGGACGGCCAGATTGTGAGAGTGTTAGTGGAGTAATGTCTGATGTAGTTTACTGAGCAATTTCAAAGCAGAGTAATGGAGGTAATCTCAGAAATTCTAAGCAGCAGCGTTGTAAATGCACAGAGAGAGAGTGTTGCTTTCATTTCATTGACCTGAAATCAGCTTGTTTCCCCCATCCTACTTCTAATTTGTTTTTATTACCTTAATATCCTGTGTCATGGAGGTTCTAAACATCTTTAGAATAAAATTCTTTGGAGATCTATAAACTGCTGCTTTCTAATTTCATTGCTCTTAATTATAGGTCATTGAAAATGCAAAAAACAGAAGTAATGTAGGATAGTAGAAAGAGCTTTATACTCAGCATCGGAGGCCTGGACAATAGTTTTTTAACTAACTGATTACTGTCTGGCTGACTGTTTGCCCTAGAGGAATCCTTTGACATCTCTGAGCCTCAGTTTCTCATCTATAAAAGGAAGCTATTAGAAATGGTATTTAAGATTATTTATTATCTCAGTTTATACTCCCTCCATGCATCAAGCTTCATTTGTTCACTTAACAAACAAGGCTGGGCGCGGTAGCTTATGCCTGTAATCCCAGCACTTTGAGAGGCCAAGTCAAGCAAATTGCTTGAGCCCAGGAGTACAAGACCAGCCAGGGAAACGTGGTGAAACCCTGTCTCTCCAAAATTACAAAAATTAGCCAGGCACATTAGCGTGCATCTGTAGTCCAGCTACTTGGAGGGCTGAGGCAGGAGGATTGCTTGAGCCTGGAGGTCGAGGCTGCAGTGAGCTGTGATTGTGCCACTGCATTCCAGCCTGGGTGACAGAGCAAGACCCTGTCTCAAAAAAAAACAAAAAGCAAAAAATAAACAAATATTTATTGTATGCCTACTATGTGCCAGGTACTCTCCCAGGTGCTTGAGATACAGCAGAGTACAAACAAAGCCGTGTTCTTGTCCTCCTACAGCTTGCATTCACGCAGCATTTGAAGGGCTTACTATTTAGTCCCAATTTATGAAAGGTTCTGTGTGATTAAAGGCTGTGGCTGGAGAATATGTTGAATAAAGAGATGGGCAGGGTTGGCCAGGCACGGTGGCTCACGCCTGTAATCCCAACACTTTGGGAGGCCGAGGCAGGCGGATCACGAGGTCAGGAGTTCGAGGCCAGCCTGGCCAACATGGTGAAACCCCACCTCTACTAAAAGCACAAAAAATTAACCAGGCTTGGTGGTGCGTGCCTGTAAGCTCAGCCTCATGAGGCTGAGGCAGGAGAATTGCTTGAACCTGGGAGGCGGAGGTTGCAGTGAGCCGAGATGGCATTATTGCACTCCAGCCTGGGCAACACAGCGAGACTCCATCTCAAAAAAAAAAAAAAAAAAGAGATGGGCAGGGTCATTAGCAGGCAGGATTGAAAAGATTGGAAAGTGAGGCTCCATCTTACCTTGGCTGGTGAAAATGGCTCCCTCAGGGCATTGCTCATGACCCCCAAACCGTCCACAGAAGGAAAGGATATTCCTGTCCCTAGCCCTGTCCAGCTACCAAAACAACAGCAGGGAAAGGGAGGCCGAGGGTAGCCCACTTACCTCGCCTTGGTAAGGGTCTCCCCTGCTGTTGGATTTAGCTTCCAGTTGTGTCATTTCAAATGCCCGTGATCCTCTACTGTGTGCAAGACAAAAGTACGAATACTTGCTTGTCCAGCCAGGCCCCGAGCCACCCTCCTCCCTTTCCCCTACATATGTCCACGTCAGTGGGCAAGCTGGCAGCCCGGTGTCTCCAGCACATGGGGTGCACCCTGTCTCATCTGCAGGCCATTGTGTGTGTGTTCACAGTTCAGAAGCTGACTCACTATCTCTGCCTGCCAACATCCTCCACCACACCCACCTCCCACCCCTATGGTCAGGGGGCATGGGTATTGAATGGCAGTGCCATCAGAGCTTGCCAGCACCCTGTCACCCAATTCTCGGCCACTGGGATCAGAGATTATTTCTTCCTCCCTGAATCTCTCAGTCCCTGCTGCACCATCCACAGCTGCGGGGGAAGGGCTGGCCGACGTTTTTGATCTTGTTTTCCGTGCCTATCACAATGCCTGTCACATACCAGATCCCCTGAAATTGTTTGTTGAGCAGACTGTTATCATAATCTCCTGTGATATTTACCACATTTTACCTTTTGACATGGTTATTTGAGAATATTTTTAAACTTTCTAGGTCTGAGCTCTTTGATAGCAGGGCCTGTGTTTTATTTATTTTTTAATCTCCTAAAGCACCTGGTTCTTGGACTCCATGAATATTTAATAGCCTGAAATAAACAGAATTTAATTCCTGGATAGTTGAATTTGAGAGGTGGAAATAAACATAGGGTTTTTATTTCTGTTTCTCTCAGGGGAAACTGAGTCAAAGAAAAATAAGTAACTCACAAGCTGATGTGTCAACCAAGGCTATAAATCCAGGGAGAAATTCAGCAATAGAAGAGCATTGTAATATTAGAAAGCTTCCAGATCTCCCCACTCAGGAGTATTTCCTACCTGTAACACACAGATCCGTCGTACAAATTATGCTTTGTTTGCTGAAAAGCCTCCTGAAGCTGAATGGGTTTACTTTGGCATCAGCGGAGGCCATGATTGAGGGCGGAGATGAGACATTGGATCGCTCTTGTGTGGCTTCCGCATGGCCGTCGTGGTTCCTCTGCCCAGCCCTCTCCTGCGAGGGACTCGATCAGCTCCAGGGCGCAGCTTGTGTGTCTGCTCCCATGGCCAAGTCCCCTTGGCTCCCTTCCCCTTGGCTCTGGTTTGGCTTGACTCTGCCTTCTGCTCCTCAGGTCTGTCTAGGTTTAGTCCTGTGTAATCATTTGCAGCAAAGCCTGCCCATGACTGGAAATGCAGTCCTGGCTTGGCAGGAAAGGGGTTTGTGCAAGAGCTGGCTGTACCTGTGTCTGAAACACCTGAGGCCCTTCCAGGGCTAGGGATGCAAGAAGCCTAGGCTGGCAAAGCTGGCCTTCCTGCCAGGGCTGAGGAGCACTGGAGCCCTAGAAGGGGACTGCTGTCCAGCCCCTTGGCCAGCCAGAGCAAGGGCCACTGTAGTCAAACATGAATTCACAAATGGGAAGAGCAGGAGGTGACTCAGATCCACCTCCCCCATAACTGCTAATCATAGTGAATTATTAAGAGCATAAAATCAGGATCTTGTTTCCCACATAGAGATCAGGCCCATCAGCCCTGAGCAGTTATATAATCCACCTCATACACGTGGATAATATTGAGACTGGCACTTCCAAGCAGAAGCCTGCTAAATAAGGACATGTTTGTTGTTTCTTCTACCTCATCAAAATGTCTGTTTCTTATTCCTAAGAATGGCAGGGAGTAAAGGATTATTTATTTCCCTTGATATTTTTCATTTCAAGAATCAACATGGGCAGGTTTACAGTGTTCACAAACATGCTGGTAGCAATTTGATTGCAGGAAGAATGAAATTTTGCCAGGCAAGTGCAGATTTGTCTGTTGTGGTGAGAAGGGCCATCCATGACTGTACAAATGGTGCCATTCTACCCTGAAGATACATTTTAACAAGGATGGTGGTAGTAGTTTTTATTCTTTTGTTCTCTCAGATGCATTCCATTAAAATTAAAGCATGAAATATATTAATTTGATGAAATGGATTTGTTTCCACTTGATGTGTTGCTTTGTGAAACGTTAACATTGTCTCTTAATGTTCAACAGAACTGATGACACTGGTCCATGTGGCCAGCATGGAGGGAAACATGATTCCTCTGAGAGCAGTCTAATAATCCGTGTCTTGGACCTGCATTACTTCTAAGAAAAACAAATTAGTTTAACATATTTCTAGAAATGGAAACTCTTGGATACATCAGAAACAAATTTGAATTTAGGCAATCTAATTAACCTTTAGCTAAAAATGTTGGTATTTTCACAACTCTTTTGGACAGAGTTCGTTGTTAGTGGTTGCTTCAAACTTTTTTTCCAGATCTTTTATCTCTAAAAAGCAATTTATGATTTTTTTTTTGACCCTAGTATACTGGGATGTCTTTTCGATTTGATTTTCTTATATTATTCTGGCTCCACTTTTGTGGGAACTTCTTTCCTTTCCTCTTTTGTGCTGTTGGCTCAGTGACCCAGCCACCTTTGTGGGCGGTGGTGGAATGTGCTCCGGTTGCCTGCTGCCCATGTCGGTGTGCCCAGAGCGGGAGGGACATCATTTTGACCACAGCACTTTGGCCTTAGAATGATGCAGAGACTCCATGTCACTGCCTGTTCCTCTTGCTTTACTCTTTTTAAAAAAAGACTTCTATTCTTTCCATTAAAGTTTACTCCCTTTCTAGCTTAAGGAGTCAAATCATTCTGCAAAGTTTAGTGCCAAGCCCCAGCAGTCTCCTGTATGCCTTTCCCTTTTCCCCACCTCCCTCCACCTTCCTATTTCTTCCTCCTTAGAGGCTGCCAGTTTCAACTGTTTGACATCTGAGTCTTTGGAATCATTCTCTGTATCTCTAAGTAACATGTTCGTATTGCTGCTCCTTGATTTCTTTCCGCTTTAAATATTCTCCTTTGACCATGCAACGTGAAATATGAGGACTTAGCCATGTCTTCCCTACCCTAACACCAAACCAACCAAAAGGCAGCCTTTTCATTCATCTAACTTCTCTGCAGTTAGAGCGTGTTTTGGGATAGATCGGTGCTCTGCATTAGGTTATTTTGACTGATGCTATCCACAGGTAAAATATTTAGTAAACTGTAATTACCTTTTCTCTTTCACATAACTTTTTCTTCAGTCTTTTTTTGTCTGCTTAGTTTTCTGTATGCTTTTCAATAATGCAAACACATACTCTCTGCAAATTGCCTGAACTGACTCTCAATACATTCACATACATCGCTCTTTTTGTTTGATCTTTTGGAGATGTCTGTCCCAGAGCCTCTGACCTGCCCCTGCCTAGGCAGGCTGTTCTTTTATCGTATAGGTATACTGCTTCCTGTGTCTTCCTGTGTATTATGTTTTTCAGGCGTTCAGTTGGAGGGCCAGAAACCACACTAGCTATTTTAAACAGAAAGAGACTTAAAACAGATATTAGGTGCTTTCTAAATTATTGGAAGGGCTGGAGGAGTGGGCTTGAGACTAGGTTTCCAGCAATGCTCCAGAACCACACAGCTGCCCTGGCCTGCCAGGGGTGTTGCTTTATCTGCCACTTTGGGATGGGAGGGAGTCAGGAGGCCGCCTCTGTGACTATTCACTTCAAGAACATTCTGCTGTAGCTGCAGTCCAAGGATCAGAACCTTACATTGCAGCTACTGCCTCTTGATACCCATGAAGCTGGTGACTGACTGCTGGAGTACTTATAGAACAATCCAGTAGCCCTCTACATGCCGACCAGGAGAACGAGCCAAGCTGCAGAATGATGGCCTCCACCTTCACTTCTCAAGTCTTACTTGAGTACATCTAATTGGAGAAACCTAATTTACTCAAGGAACTCAGTTGTCAGGAAGGCCAGGAAATGTGGTGTTTAGCTTTGTGGATTCTGTAGTACAGAAAGGCAGATGGGAGTGGAAATGAATGCTGAGTGCCATTCCACCATACACACCACACCAGGGCTGTGTGTGTGTGTGTGTGTTTGTGTATGTGTGTGTGTTTATGGGCTTGTTTTGATGGACTGCAGACATTTTAAAGTCTTTTTTTTTTTTTGAGTCACGGTATCACTCTGTCATTTAAGTTGGAGTGCAGTGGCATGATCTCAGCTCACTGGAACCTTTGCCTCCCAGGCTCAAGCAGTCCTCCCACCTCAGCCTCCCGAGTAGCTGGTACTACCGGCATGCACCATCACGCCTGGCTAATTTTTTGTATTTTTAATAGAGACAAAGTTTCACTACATTGCCTAGGCTGGTCTTGAACACCGGAGCTCAGGTGATCCACCCACCTTGGCCTCCCAAAGTGCGGAGATTACAGGCATGAGCCACCACGCCTGGCCCAGATATTTTAATTTCTGATCATTTATTTGTAGCCAGTTTTTCTCCCTGGGACTTAACATTTTTTTAATAGCTTATTGAGGAAAACTTTAGGTAATTATTCAAGGATTATTTAGTAAATTTATAGAGTTTTCCAGCCACCATCACAATCAACCCCAAAAAGTTTCCTCATGCCCATGTGCAGCCAGTCCTGACTCTCTGCCAGCCCCAGGCAGCCACCTGTTCTACTTCCTTTTTTTGAGAGGGGGGTCTCACTGCTGTTGCCCAGACAGGAGTGCAGTGGTGCGATCCACTATTCTACTTTCTATAGATTTGTCTTTTCTTGACATTTTTGGTAAATGGAATCATACAATATGTAGTCTTTGGCATGTGGCTTTTTTCACTTAGCACAGTGTTTTGCGGTTCATCCTATTAGCATGTCTCAGTAGTTTGTTCTTTACTATTGTTGAATAGTATTGTACACATTTTATTTATCTATTTACCAGTCAGTGGGCGTTTAGATCCTTTACAGTTTTTGTCTGTAATGAATAAAGATGCTATAAACAGTCACATACAGGTCTTTATGTGGCCATATGATTTCATTTCTTTGGGGTAGGCACCCAGGAGTAGAATTGCTGGGTTGTATGGTAAGCTTATGATTGACTTTTAAAGAAACTGCTGAACTTTTTCTAAAGTGACCGTACATGAGCAATACATGAGGGTTCTAGTTTCTCTACATCTTCACCAACACTTTGTATTATCTGACTTTTTGAAAATAGGCATCCCAGTGAGTTTGTATCTCGTTAGTTTTACTTTACATTTTCCTCTTGAATAATCATGTTAAGCATCTTTTCATATGCTTAGTAGCCATTTGTATATATTTTCTGATTAAATACCTATTCAAATATTGCGCCCATTTTTAATTGGATTATTTGTCTTATTATTCAGTTGTAAGAGTTCTTTATATATTCTAGATATAAGATCTTTATTATATGTATGATTGCTTATATTTTCTTCTAGTCTGTGGCTTGTCTTTTTATTTTCTTAGTGGTATCTTTTGAAATTTTAAATTTTAATGAAATCTAATTCATCCATTTTTTTAATGGATTATGATTTTTGTGTTGTACCTAAGAACTATTTGACTAACCCAAGTCACATAGATTCTCCCATATATTTTCTTCTAGAAGTTTATTATTTTATCTCCTGCATTGTGCTATATTTTCCATTTTGATTTAAATTTTGTGTGTGACATAAGGAAATGTTCTAAATTCATCTTTTTGAATGTGTATATCCATTTGTTTAGAACCATTTGTTGAGAAAATTAGTCCTTCCCCATTGAATTGCCTTGGTATCTTTGTTGAAAATCTGTATATAGAACTGTGCAGTCTTGACTATTGAAGCTTTAGAATCTATTTAAAATTGGTTAGTGTTAAGTTCTCAAACTGTTCTTCTTTCAAAATTCTTTTGGCTATTCTACTGCCTTTGTATTAGAATACCAATTTTGTCAATCTCACAAAAATGTCTGTTGGAATTTTGATAGGAATTTCATCGAATCTTTAGATCATTTAGAGAAAATCGCCATCTCAATAGTATTGAGTTAGGATGGAATTTATATTTATATCAGAGCTTGGCAAACTTTTTTCTGAAAGGGCTAGGTAGTGAAGAATTATTTTTGTAAGCCCTGCAGTCTCTGCCACAGCTATTCAACTCGGCTATTGTGGTGAGAAAGTAGTGTGGACAATGGGCTGTGTTCCAGTAACTATTTACGAAAGCTGGAGGCCGGACCCTGGGCCTCTGACTTGATCATCTTTAATTCCTTTCAGCAGTGTTTTATAGTTTTTAGAGTACAAGTCTTGCACTTCTTTAATGAAATTTATTTCTAAGTATTTTATTCTTCTTAACGATATTGTGAATGGGATTGCTTTTTAAATTTCATTTTCAGATTGTTTATTCCTAGTACATATAAATATGATTGATTTTCATATGACGATCTTGTATCTTGTGGCCTTGCTAAAGTTGTTTATTAGTTCTAGAAGGCTTTCAGGAACCTTTCCTTTGTCCTTGTGCGTTCTGAAACCTCACATTGTGTACCTTGGTGTGGATCTACTTTCATCCATTGCATGGGCTGACTTTCTTGTCATCTGTAAAAAAACTAACAGTAAAATTCCTTTCTTGAGTTTAGGGCATTTGTTTTGTGGCCTCGTCTTTGTAAGGAAGGAGAAAGAGCATTGTTATGTTATTATACCTGTATTGAAACTATCATAGGAAAAATTTTCAACAATAATAGGTGTGTTAAAACTTTAATAATACAAATTATCTGTGGATTTCATTTCTTATGCCTGTGGCATAAATATATCAACAGCATTATGAGCAGATTTGTTTTCTTAAAAAAAAAAAAGTGGGATTAAAGCACATAGCACATGTCATTTTTCTGTTGCCCTGTGCATGAAAATTGCTTGGTGGATTCTGCATAGTGAGTCCCTTAACAGCATGTTTCAACCCTGCATTTCTTTCATTTTCCTTCTGGTTTACATTACTGATTTCCTCTCTCCCCTTCTCCCAGTAATAGCCAGCTGGGAAAGGCCTTGTTAAAGTGAAGGAATGGAAGAGTCTTTAGTAAGGTAATGTAGTCGTGCTAATAACTTCAGGCACAGCAGGTTTCATAAGGGGTTGTTCTAGTGTCGGGATTCATGGCAGGTGCTGTGGAGTAAACCACGATTCAACCTCTGGACTTAAGTATGTACATTTGGTTGCACTTCTCCATCTTATTTTTTTATTAACCAGTTTATTCATTTCTAAGCAGCATTTATTGAACACCTGCTGTGTGCTGTTTCCTAGAAATGCAAAGGAAAGTTAGTCCCTGTTAAGGGGCCAGCATTACATTTTGGATAGACAGAAATAGTTTCTTATGTTGCCACCCAGCTGAGCTTGAGGAACAGGCTGCGACTCGGCAGAGCAGCTGGTTTGATCAGCAGCTGGTTCCACCATATGTGCAGGCTTCACACTCCCACAATGGACAGTCCTGACCTGGACTGGCCCTCAGGCCAGTGTCCTCCAAGTCCATCAGAGCATTCTGGGTGGAGTCATTGGGAATCTTGGGCTGTCTTCTAGCTTATTCCAGGTCTTCCTCACTATTGGGGATATGTTAGGGGAGAAAGAGCTGCTGCCCGAGTCAGGCCTTGCTGAACCTATAAGATTGCTTTGTCACTTTTTCCCTTCTCTGTTTCGAATGCTCTCCTTACCTTTACTCAATTGCCAGGAATGAGAACATTCCTTAGTAGTGTTTAGGTTTTCCTCAACCTATTAGATACCTATTTTCCTCTTTCATTTATAAGCTCGTATAGTACTGGGACCACATACAGTATTTTCCTATAACTGTGAAATCAGCAGCAGACCAGCATTCCGTACATTTTTATAATACATGAAAATTTTTCAAACCACAAACCAGAGAAAAGTATCTCTTACAGGGTTAAAGAAAGAAAGAAAGAAAGAAATTGGCCTCCTTGGAGAGGTCAACAATTTATTAATGAAATCACATCTTAACATGAAAATAACAAAATGAACATCTTTCTACAAAGAGGATGAATTATCTTTTTCAGTGTCCTTGAAGAGAACAACTAGAGGAGTCGTGCGGGCTGCAGCATGGGGGCCTTAGATAAGATATAAGGAAGACCCTCTAGCTGGTGGAGAGTGCGGAAGCTTGAACTGAGTTATGAAGAGTATGTTAGAGTTTTGAAATTTACTGAGTAGATTTTCATTTCTTGGAGGCATTTTAAATACAGTCCTCTTGAAAGGAATAGATATGTGGAACATCCTTGGAAAAGTCCATTTTAATCTCAAGTACTAGTCAAATCTATTTAAAAGCAAAAAGAGGAGAAAAAAATCTGCTTTTAATAGTTAATTTTTGTGTAGTTGTATTAGGATGCAAACTGAACTTGTGCTCTTCATCTTCAGCAACTGTCTGTTAAGCCTACATCATTTGAAAAAGTAAAAACAGAATTCTGAGAGCACGGTTAGCAAGGTGGTTGGTTGGTGATGTGCATACTTTTTATTTGTTTCTTCATTTTATGTTAATACTAGTTTAAAGTTAACTTAGTCCGGGCACTATACTAGTCTTACTTGCGTATTATAATTTACTTGCTATTTTGCTCATTGGCTTCTAACTAAAACTAGACCAGCTCAGCACCTTGCTTCAGACTATATCTCCAATCGATTTTCTGTTCTGACTTTTTAAAGACCCCCTGGTCTTTCCATTTATCTGTTTCATCCCCATTAACACTGATGGACACACCTCTAATTCTCAACCCAGTGTTACCTTCTATAGCCATGTCTCTCTAAGTACTCCTGTGAAAACCAGTCCTATAACCTTTGGTATTTGTCAGAAATTATTTGATAAGCACTAGGAGATATCTTTTTTTCTTTCAATAA
Source organism: Homo sapiens (assembly GCF_000001405.40). Taxonomy (NCBI): domain Eukaryota; kingdom Metazoa; phylum Chordata; class Mammalia; order Primates; family Hominidae; genus Homo; species Homo sapiens. Next base: position 5,465,745 of record NC_000006.12, read on the forward strand.
ATGGAGGCATTAAAAGTCCATTCATTGGAAGTTTTTTTTTTAATGTAAGCATCATTAGCTTTTTTTATTTATTTAATTTGAACTTATATAACATAAAGACCTCTTCATAGCCATACTTTTTTTGAAAAAAAGAATTTTTTTTCAAAAATAGTTTATCAACCTCTGTCTGGATTCTTCCCATGTCTATAATGCTTCCACTGTAGGAGAATCAATTTTATCCTTATTTTTAACATACCTCAATAACTCTGTGGTGTGTGGCCCTTAGCAGGACAGACCTGCCTCTTTTTTCTGATCTTTGCAGACTTCTGAAGCTCATTTCTTACACACAACACCTGTGTAGTTCTTTCTTTTCAACGGCGATGGGTAATGCGTAGCTCTCTGAATGCTCCTTCTCTCTTTGCCTTGGTAACTTTACACATGCCACTCCTGGCTGTAGTGCCTTCCCCATTCCCTTAATTTCTACTCATCCTTGAAGATTTAATTTGCTTCTCATCTGCAAAGTCTTCACAGATCCTGCCTCTGCCCCTCCTTTTCCATTCCTATCCCCAACTCCAGGCCAACATGAAACCTTTATTTGTATTTCTGAAATGCTCTGTGTACCTCTCTCCGGTGCCATTGTCATGCCTGTGTCATTTCTTGGTCTCCTTCCTGTTGCCCCCACTAGATGCTGAGCTCCTTAAAGGCAAGAGCCATGTCTTAGTCAGCTCTATATTCCCAGGCTTAGCTCTGAAAACATAATAAATGTTTAGTGGAAGAAGATAAGGAAATATGTTGTATACCTCATTGGAAGTTTTGTTTGTTTGTTATTCCCTAGGCTTGTTTCAGTTTCACATCAACCCAGAGGATATGAGACTTCATAATGGTCCTGATGGCACCCAGCCATCCACTGAGAGCTCATTCTCAGGCATGCTGGCAAAGTGACTCAGTGATTTTCAAACCTGGGGAGCTGGATAAAAATGCCTGTTTCCTTCCAGAGAGTCGAATGCAAGGCTGTGTGTGGTGCCTGGGATCTGTAGACTGAAGCAGCACCCCTGGTGATTCTGGTGCAGGAAGTTGTTACCCACCTCTGAGAAGCACTGAGTTGGGAATGGAGCCCATTTGGAGTCAGCAGCCCATGCTGGCTCTTCTATGGATTCCTTGAACCCATGAGCACATGGGCACCTCGGCCTTATGCTGCAGTGACTTCTCTCTTTACTAGCACAGCCTGTGCAGGAATGATAAGAGGCACATATTCTTCAGTTCGTGCAACAGATGTCCTCCTGAGACATTGAATACAAATTAAAGTTTTATAGATGGACCATGGGATACCAGCAGTGAATTATTCTGTAAGTTGAATAGTCACTTCCCGATTTATTGGTTGTTGAGCCCTCCATTTTTAAGAATTAGTTTGTTTAAATTAGATTAAATGTTTCTATCTGTGGTTTACATTTTTTGACTGTATGAATTTAATAATTTATTTTTTATTTTTATTTATTTATTTATTGCCACAGGTGGTTACCCATTCTTAACCAATCCTTAAATGGGCATTTTAAGGTTTCAGTAACAACATTTTACTGCAGTTGGAGAATGACTTTCAAAGCTTCAGAAGCCCTAATCTAGGGGCCATTTCATTTCTAAGGAGGTTCATGATCATTGCCCAAGTAATTTCTCATTGTAATATCTAGAGTCCTACAAGCTTATGAGCTAACAACATTTGCCCATGAGGTTTTAGATGCTGAAATAAGATACAATAGGTCTGAAATGTTAATAAAATATTCTTCAGTGATCTCCTTTCTTAGTCAACGTTGCTATATCCTCTTCCTGTGTCAACTCCTCAGAATGTGGGCTTTCCATACTGACAGTACCCCCACCATGCTACATGTTATAGGTGAACAATCTAATTTTTTCCAGTAGCTTCCACTCTCTTCTGTGGATAAATGTTAGTTTGATGATGATAATGATAGTCATAAGTTTTATTATCATCATTACTGTTCTTATTCTTCTTCTCTGGACCTCTGTGTTTCCTATCAGTAAAATAAATGTGGTCAGACCAAAAGATGATTTCTAAGATGACTTATGCCTTACCATTTTATGGTTCTATGATTCTAGATATACATTTTGATGATTATAGATGCTCATTACCTTAAGAAAGTTATCAGAAGGGAATGATGAACTATGTTTCAAAACATTTATTTTCTTAATAACATGGCTAACTTCAGAATGTCATTAAATAGAATATATATTGGTGCAACGTTTATTATTCATTTTCCTGACTGAGAGGCTGAGGCCAGTAGTAAAAACTTATAGCCACCAAATATCAGAGTTGGAAGGGACCTGAGAGAGCATCTTGTCTGTCCCTGCTTTCAGAAAGTGGTGATATTCTCAACCCAAGAGTTATGGTGACATGTTATATACATCAAGATAAACTCTTTTAAGAGCTTCAGTGTCATGGAAACTCTTTGTGTCAGCAACATCAAAGCCCATGATTTTCTAAGTGGCATTTCTCATTCTACGATGCACTGCAAAATAATATTGCCAAACCGTGAAAGATTACACATCTGTAGTACCAGGGTTAGCTCAAGATTTCAGAGCATGCCAATTAGATATTTTTTCCCTTGGCTGGTAAAAGTAAAAAAAAAAAAAAGAAAGAAAAAAAGTTAGCCATATAATGAAAGAAAAGGAGAATTTGTGTGACGGTGATGTTGTATCTTATTACAATAATTGAATTCCCTTTAATATTTTCATCAAGTGCTTCATATTTAGGGAAAGAATTATTTAAGGATAATCCATAATATTATAGAAAGAATACTTATGTTTTAAAATATAATTCGACCAGAAATCTTTGAATCTGTTTCAAAGAGGGCCATTTCATTCATAAAAGGTAATGACACTATTCTAATGCCAGTGTTTGATTGTTCATTTTTTTCCTGTGTCTGCAGAATGGATTACAGATTCCTTGCATAATCAGCAATCCATTTTGTTTTCTAACAATTAGCCGGTTATTCATACTTTCACAAGAATGCGATGCTAGCATGCTGTGGTCTGTTTCTGATCTTACACAGGAAAATGACAGTGAGATAAGAGTAGAAAGATGATTTCATTTGTCTTTACAGGGTAATGTATGGGAGATGTTCCTGGATAGTCATATCCTTTTGGAATGATGAAGTTTAAGGATTTCCGTATCTGGAATTTGTATCCATATAACACAGATGTGTATATGACTTGGCATACCATAACTCCCTTTTCCAGCTGTTATGTGACGGGTAAATTTTGAAAATGTATCTTCCTGCCAATCTCAGTTTACCGGATTCTGGTCATTTCAAGCCTGATGAGATTTGGGTTCTTGAAAAGGGCTCGAGACTGACATGAATCCCTTACACAGATGTCTTCACAGAAACCAGTGTTTAGCCATTGCCACTTCCAGCGACTGTTTCTTGGGACCACTTGGTGGCAGGCCCACAGTCAGCCTCCCAGCTCGCACTTCCTGCTGTTTTCCCTCATGCAGCTATCATCACTCACCACTTGCTTGGTCCACCGAGGTTCCTGTCCTGTGCGTTGCTGCACTGCCTTGACCCCACTCGGTTCTCACTACCTCACAGCAGAACCGGCCTGTCTCCCATTGTGCGGAGCCCCGCCCCACACTTCATATCCCTGCTGTGTGTCCTTCAGCGGGTGACAGTAGCTAATCCCTCCGCTGGATACCTTCTTGATTTTCTCTCTAAACAGCTGCAGAGAGCTGAGAAAACTCCTTCTCCCACTGCAGCATGTCATGATCCAGTACTTAGCTGTTAGTTGCCACCCCAGCAAGTCTCAGACCCTCTGCCAGGCTCTGGAATTTAGTTGTGTAGAATGTTCTGTACACTGCCCTCGGCATCTCTTAAAGGAACTGGGTTTCTGTCAGTCAGGATGACTCGCTTCAAGTGTCAATGGATAATGTCTCATGAAAAAATTAAAGGCGATGGAAAAATATGCGGTCATTGCTTCTAAAAAGATAAGGTTTGGATTTGGAGTAGGAAATATATAAGAATGAACAGAGCTTTTACAACTTTTCTTTTTCCTTTAAGGGAGCTAGATTTCTAATCAGTGTTTTTCAATATAGTTTAATGGCTTACTTTGTGGGTTTAGGATTTTGAGGTTCTGCATCTGAATTCTAGTTTTGTCATTTGTCATTTGTGTGCCCTTACACAAGATACTTACCTCTCTGAGTCTCATTCTTCTCATCTCAAAAATAGGAATAATACTGGTACTGACCTTGAAGAGTTGTAAAAATTAAAAAGTGATGGATGCAGAGCACTTAGAATAGTTTCTGACACAATAAAACTTCAATGAGTAGTAGACTTCATTATTATCTATTTTATTATTAATATTATTGTTCACAACACCATTCCAAAAGGAGTTAATTTTTGATAAAGAAGCAGAATTTCTTTAATACAGTTGGCCCTCCATACCTGCAGGTTCTGCATCCGCAGACTCAACCAAGTGTGGATCAAAAATATTCAGGAAAAAAAATGCAAGTAAAAAACAATACAGTATAGCAACTATTTACATAGCATTTACATGGTATTATGTTTTATAAGTAGACGTAGAGATGATTTAAAGTGTACAAGAGAATGCGCATAGATTATATGCAAATACTATGCCATTTTATATGAGGGACTTGAGCATCTTCAGGTTTTGGTATTTGCAGGGTGTCCTGGAACCAGTCCCCTGCAGATATTGAGGGATGACTATACACTACCCAATTTCAGCTCTACACCAAACTCGTATTTCCAGATGTATACATGTTAAGTATCATCATTACATAATGGAAAAAAGAATAAGAGTAATATTCAGATCATTTTATTTTCTCCTCTGTAATTTTTTATTAGAATAACTAGTAACTATATGTAAGGCTCAAAGTGGATTTGTTCCGTATAGTTTGTGTAGTTCTGTATAGCGCATGGGACTGGGTTTGTTGCTACTAAACTGAAAAACAAAGTTGGAATCTAAGTCCTGTGTTTATTAAAAATTCCAAGAAAAACAAGGCTTTCTTTTTCATCTAACTTTTCTAGAAAATAGACAAATCAATGAGATCCTATAAGTATCATTGTCCTGGAAGAAGGTGAGTGGAAAGTAAAGAGACTCAATTTTTTTATCTTTTTAATATGTGTTCATGATACAAAATTGAGCACTCTGAATTTTCGCAGACCTTTCTCCCTTTGCTGTATTAACCTCAAGTACCTTTGAATAGTCTTGGTACAGGTATATTCTATTTATAACAGCCAGTCTATTATCTGGTTCTCTTCCTCTTCCTGTGTTCCTTTCTTCCTGCTCTTACTGATCAGAAAAGGCTTTCTAAGCTAGAGTGTGAGAGTTACATGTTAACAATAAGTGAACCCCACTGAGGGGTTTCAGCCACTGAGAGACTGACCCAGAAGCAGCAGTAGAGGGCGCTCGGCCCCTCATTTCATAATAGTGGAGCCTGCACCAAACGTCTTTCATTTGAGGAGCTAAAAATGAATTGCACGTATTAATTAAGTCTTGCCGAGGCCTTGTTAGTGATCCGGTGCTAAGCGCCTAAAATAAGTAGATCTTATTTTAATCTTGGGGAAACTGGGTATAAGAGGGAATTTCCTGAGACTCCATAGCAAGAGTCAGAATTTCAGCAAAAACCCAGGAATCCTTCTCTTACCTTTTCTTGCTCTGGCTAATATCCCAACTAGCCCTTCATTTACGAAGAACCAAAGGGAAACTCCAGGACTTTTAATTTCCTCTTGAATAATTCCTTTAATGAAGGACATATGAGATTTTTGCTTGAAGTAAATGTTACCAGCAACACTGTACCACCTATTTTAAAATTAATCCCTTTTGTTAGATAGCTATTCTAGTGGCTCTTTGCTTTTAACCAACAAAGGCCCTTAAGAAAAGGAAAATGAAAAATAAATAGCAGTCCTGGAATCCTATTGCCTAGTGTAGGCAGATCATATTCTGTATGATCTTGTTGGCTCATATTATGTGGTGATTAGAGCTGGGCTTCAATCAGCTGGATGATTCCCCAAGGCAGGGTCTTGTCCCACCAGTGCACATGGTGCGCCCCGTCTGACACCAGGGCGACTTGAGAATTGAGCCCAGGGAAGCTGCAGTGTGGTGCAGCAGATGCGTACTGGTGGTTGCCATGGAGATCGCTAATACTGCTGAAACCCAAAGAAAGGGCATTTGCCACAGCTCAGGAGCCTGCCTGAAAATGAATGAGAAACAAGTGGAATTCAGAATAGTCCCCCAGCTCCTTATCCCACATGGAGTTTTAATTTCCTTTTCTCCTCCTCTTCCTCTTCCTTTTTCAAAGAATAGATTGAAAACAAGGCTGTGTTATAAAGCATGCTCAGCCCCCTCCGACCTCATTGCTGCCTGACATATCCCTGGAATAGATGTATATTAATGACGACGCATGACTAATAGGATTGGGGCTGGGGGCTGGTGTAGTGGTGCTTCTGGAGCCTGTGGGCCGCATGTCACTGGGGTTTAGCAGGCACGCTGGGATTTGTCTGCAGCATATGCGCTGCTGTTAATGATTGAAAAATTACCACAACAATTAGTCATGGATCGCTGAAGGCAGGGCCCCCAAATGTGATGGACAATGTGATTAAATCCATGTATGTGACAATTAACTCTCCTGCAGGTTTATCCACCAAGGAGGGTGCCCTAGGGGTGAGAGCAAAGGGGAATGAGAAGGAGGAAAAATGGGAAAACAAAAAGGAGCAGGAGAGAATAATGCTGCAGAATGGATCAGATACAGCTGGCACTATTGGTTTTAATCTGATCCTGAATTAATCACGGTTTGATTAATCCTGGTTTTATTGCACCTTTCTGTTGCCCATTTATTTATATCTTCCTTAATTTTATAGAAGCATGACTGATTAAATTCTGCCCATTCTGTGTTTTTTAAATTTTAAAATCAGGTCTCTCCATTTAATGTGATGTCCTAGGTGGTCCAAGGTGCAATTATCTCGTAAGAGCTTAGCAGGCACCAGACATAGCATGTCATGAATCCCCTTATGTATCACAGCTGAGTAACCCAGAATAAATATTTGTTTGCTCAATATTCTGCCTAAGTAAAAAGAAGCCTTGTGATGTCAGTCTGCTTGTTTATTTGGGTGGAAGAAATAAGAATACACACCCCCGCAACTTTGTTAAATACAGAGAGCACACATTCAGTATATGTCACACACAAAATTTTGTGCATAAAGAAAAAGTGTGTTAATATTTGGATGAAGTATCTGCAAATATATATTCATGGCCTAAAAGGGTAATGTTTGCAGTCCATAGATATGTTCATACGTGGAATTATTTTTAACCAGTTTGTATTGTTCTTGTTTTGTTCTCGTTTAGATGTTACTTTTGGTGTTATCTATATTTGCATACCAAACACTACATTTAAATAATGCCAAGGAGGTTGTGACACGAATCAGCACAAGCAAAACCTCATGCTTTGTAACTCACGCATGTTGGATACACTGTGTGCATTAAGAATACCCTGCTCCTGGCCAGGCGCGGTGGCTCATGCCTGTAATCCCAGCACTTTGGGAGGCCGAGGTGGGTGGATCACGAGGTCAGGAGATTGAGACCATCCTGGCTAACACAGCGAAACCCCGTCTCTACTAAAAATACAAAAAAATTAGCCGGGAATGGTGGCGTGTGCCTGTAGTCCCCGCTACTTGGGAGGCTGAGGCAGGAGAATGGTGTGAACCCGGGAGATGGAGCTTGCAGTGAGCTGAGATTGTGCCACTGCACTCCAGCCTGGGCGACAGAGCGAGACTCTGTCTCAAAAAACAAAAAAAAAAACAAAAAAAAAAAACAAAAGAATACCCTGCTCCTGATTCAGGAGAGGGCATCTAAAGCTTTAGAAAACATTGAATTATATTTACATACATTGTTTTTCTTCTTACAGCATTCCTGAGGGTTATTCCATTGTTCTTGTTTAGGGTGAATTTGGTAGAAGACTCAGTTTTTTATTTGCAGGCTAAATTGGATTATCTTTGTTACTTGCATTTTTACCTGATCTACCCAGGCATATAAGGATAGATTTGTTTGTGATGTAGGCAGCGGTGTCTTTCAATATAGTAGAAAAAGAAAATAATCAGCATAAGCAAAGATCTCAGTGCACAGGCCACACAGAATGGACGCCGCCCTGCTGGATACCTTTACACCCTTGCATCCCTAGCTGCTGATATCACTGTGTTTTTAGAACACCACTCCAGAAACCCAGTCTATCCATGAATGATTTAGGAACCTCAGGATCCCTCCTGTTACCAAATTTGTGCTCTCCATGTAGCCTCCCAATAACCAGCCCTTCAGTTCTGTGAAGGCAGGAAAACACATCATTCATGAATGTCCTTCATACCCATCAAACTAAAGGACTGCATACTTCTCGAGCCATCATCACATTTCCGTTATCTCCAATGGCACATGCCGCTGTCTACATGTATTAATTTCTGCTGGGGCTTCAGTAACCAGGGCCAGCCAGCACGGTTTGTTCATTTGTTTGTTCATTAATGCATTATTTCATTTATTTATTATTGACATATGTTGGGCAGTGTACCGGGTACTTGAAGTGGAGATGAAGGTGGGACACAGGGAGACTCACAGTCCCAAATTTTATGCTGAAGGTGTGTTGTAGAGATAAGATATACAGTCATGCATCACTTAACAACAGGGATGCATTCTGAGAAACATGTTGTTAGGCAATTTTGTCGTTGTGTGAACATCATAGAGTGTATTTACACAAACCTAGATTGTGTAGCCTACTACACACCTAGGCTGTATGGTATGGTCTGTTGCTCCTAGGCTACAAACATGTACAGCACTTTACTGAATACCGTAGGCAATTGTAATGTGACGGTACATTTTTGTATATCTGAGCATATCTAAACATAGAAAAGGTACAATAAAAATACAGTACTGTTTTTTTTTTTTTTTTTGAGACAGTCTCACTCTGTCGCCCCGGCTGGAGTGCAGTGGCATGATCTCTGTTCACTGCAACCTCTTCCTCCTGGATTAAAGCAGTTCTCTACCTCAGCCTCCTGGGTAGCTGGGATTACAGGCACCCGCCACCACGCCCAGCTAATTTTTGTATTTTTAGTAGAGATGGGATTTCACCATGCTGGCCAGGCTGGTCTTGAACTCCTGACCTCGTGATCCACCCACCTCGGCCTCCCAAAGTACTGGGATTACAGGCATGAGCCACCACGCCGGTGCCCAGCCCAGTACTGTCATCTTACAGGACCACTGTCATATATAAGTAGTCTGCCATTTACCAAAACATTGTTACTTGGTGAACGACAGTGTACAGGAAGAACCATATACAAGGTGGAAATTGACAAGTACCACAAGAGGAAAACTAAATGAAAGGATATGATTGTTTGCAGATAGGAGAAATGACTTCTCCGTGGGTACTGGGGAAGGTTTTGTGGCATCTGACTTAGTCTTTGAAGAGGTTCCCAATTCACTCATAGCCAATGGTTGAAAGACTAGATTTCTTGGACAGTTCTCAAAAAGAGTTGGATATGCAGGCTTGAAGAGAAGTATATTTTAGGCACGTGCAAGAATGTGGGCGTAGTACTACTTTGGACATAACAAAGAAACAACTTGATTTGAATGTATGATGTAGAAAGAGCCTTTTGGAGCCAGATTACGGAGGACCTTAAATGCTCAGCCAAGGAGTTTAGACTTCCTTTTATAGTCAGTGAGTTGAGGGATAATAAAAGAGGACAGATGAGAAGACGTTGCATGAAGCATGTGCGTTTCAGACTAGGACTCTCCCCTGACCACAGTCCTCCAAAAACTTCCCATGCAGCTTCAGGTAGAATCTCGGCTCTAGCTCATGGCCTTCAAGGCTCTGCATCATGGGCACCTGCCTCCTATTTGGACATCATAGACCCCTCTTTACTTCCCTCACTCCTGTAGTCACACTGTTTACTGTTTCCAGCTGAGTCTCTGCTCTTACTGGTCTCTGTAGCTGAAATACTCCTACCCCAGGGCTTTGCATGGATGCCGCCTTCTCATTACTCAGGTGCAGCTCAGAGAGTCCCTCTTCCACTCTTTGCCTGTCTCCCAACCTCCAATTCCCCTCTCTGTGTCCCAGTCTCAAGTGGCTTGCTGTCATGGATGCCGGTCGTTGCTCCCCTGATGTTGTTTTCTCCCATGATTTTGCTCCATTAGCCATTCTGTAACTCAGGGAAGGTGTGCCTATCCGTTGGCCAGGGGCTAACCTGATCATAGTAATTCTCTTATTATCAGTGATTGGTTCATTCATGGCATGTGACCCAGTGAGGGACCAATGAGACATGATGGGGGAAAAGTGTCTTCCCTTCTGAGAAAATGTCACTAAAGAGATGTTGCCTCTTCCTTCCCTCCAAGTTGAAGATCAGGAGGTGAGGTCTGGGTCTGCTGAGTAAGGACAGTTGACACTCAGAAGAAGGCAGCCCCCGGCGAACGGGAGAGAACCAGGATATGGATGGAACATGCCCACACCTAGACTTCTTGTTTTGTGAGATGTTATCTCCTTCTCAAGTCCCTTTGAGTCGTGTTTTCTATTACCTGAGTGGGAAGCATACTAATTGATGTTTTCTTTTATATCACTCTGCTTTATTTTCTTCATGGCATTTGTCAGTTGGTGAATTATCCTGTTTATTTATTCTCATGTTTATTGCCTGTCTTCCTTACTATCAGTGAAGCTTCATTTGGACAGGAACTTACCTGTCTTGTTAACTGAATTCACAACTCCTAGAACTGTGTGAAGAGTATCGGTAGGTGACCAATAAATAGTTATTGGATGAATGAATGAATGAATGAATGGAGTGAGGGAGGGATGAACAAATGAAAGAATGAAGTGAGGGAGGGAGATTAATGTTGCCCTTGTATATTTTATAAAATATCATGGGGAGGGGTTGGAGAGGGCTTATGGAAGGCCGTTGCCATGCCGAGGAGTTCACAGCTAGGTATTGAGAGCCTGCCCCTTGGTTGTTGCAGTGCAGTGGGGAAGGGCCAGACAAAAGGGATGTGACAAACCTAACAGGACTTGGAACTGCGGCCAGAGTGGAAATGGGGAGAGGTGGGCTTAACTCCTGAGGCTGCACCAGGGGGTTATTGGGAGGAATAGGATGTAGGAGGAATAGCAGTTGCAATACTGGAAAACAAGGAAGTGTATTTTGGAAGTGTAGGATATTAAGTGCCAGTTAGGCATCAGTGTGGAGCTCTAGCTGGTAGTTGAGAATGTAGAAATGAAGACAGACTACTTTTATAATCAGAAGAAAATATCCCTCTTTCTTTATAAAGATAATCAGGCCTGGCAATTGGTACTTCTCTTTCCTAGTTATTATGCCTGACTCAAAAGCAGACTCCATGTCCAATTCAATTTATGTGGCCAGAGCCCCTGTTTTATGTGCCTATCATAATAATTTGTGTATAATTCCTTTATTAGAACAAAACCAAAACCAAGTAAAGACCTTGACTGTCCTTGGGTCTAACAGGGCTAAACAGAGCTAGTTCTAAGAATACTTAGATGGTCAGAGATTAGCCAGGAACTAGTTTCTGAGCAGTGTCTCAGCTCACAACAGACCTCCTTCAGGTATTCCCTATCTCATTACCCTAGCTTATTGTCTTCCTGCCGACACTTCCTGCTTTCCTGAAATACCACTTTTATTTGTTTGACCCATGAGAACAGGGTTGATTAATGCCAATTGTGACTATTATAAGGCCTAGTTGACTTGAGTTAGAGAATGCTACAATGTTTTCACTTGTCTTGTCTCACTGCGGCATCTCCAGGACATATAACATAGTGATTAGGAACACTGGCTCTGAAGTCAGACTGCCTGTGTTTGTATCCAGTCTTACTAGCTGGGTGACCTTGGGCAAATTACTTAATGTCTCTGGGCCTCAGTTTACAAATTATTGTAAATTAATTAATTTTGTGTGTGTAATTAACTGATATCTTTTGAGGAGTAAGCAAATAAATCCATATCAAATACTTAGGCAAGGCTGGGTGTGGTGGCTCATGCCTGTAGCCCCAGCAGTTTGGGAGGCCAAGATGGGAGGATGGCTTGAGACCAGGAGGTGAAGACCAGCCTGGGCAAGATAGTGAGACCTCATCTCTACAAAAAATAAAAAAAATGAGCTGGGCGTGGTGGTGTGTACCTGTAGTCCCAGCTACTTGTGAGGCTGAGGTGGGAGGATCACTTGAGCCCAGGAGGTCGAGGCTGCAGTGAGCCATGATTGCACCACTGAACTCCAGCCTGGGTGAAAGAGCGAGACCCTGTCTCAGAAAACAAACAAACAAACAAAAAACAAACCAGTAACAATGACCCGCCCCCACCAACACACATACAATAAAACACTTAGTGCTTGGCACATATTAAACGTGATGTCAGTATTAACCTGGCACACGAAGACACTCAGTCAATATGTGTGGAATCCAACTGAAAGAGCGCAGATTGATGTGGCTGTAACAGGGGCTCCAGATAATTTCATTAGCCTAACCTGTGACCAGTTACTATTTAACCTGGCTGTCTATTGGTAGCTTTTTCCAATTCTAGATAAAATCCTAGTATGGTACAGACAGATAGGTGGTGATCATATATCTTTCACTTGTATGATGCTTTTACAGATTATTTTCTTACTATCTGATCTCATCCTGACAGCTAATCTTGGGAATAGACAGGAATATCATTTCCGTTTTATGAAACAGGAAGCTTAGGCACAGAGAGGTTAAGTGTCCTTAATAACTCATGGCAGAAGCATGAGTAGAGCATGAGCCTCCTGTTTCCCAGACCCTGGCTGGAGCTCCCCATCTGTTCATCCCAGTCTATGCTACCAATGAACATAGAATACATGTCCAGATGCCCAGGCAAGATAAGCGTTCAAACCACCATGATTCTCTCACATCGACTGAGTGCCCCTGTCTTGCAAGTGCGGAACAACCAGCACCACCATTAAAATGGTGGTTCGTCCAGGGTGCTTCCCTGGCTTCCCCCAAATTAGTGCTCTTCGGGCTGTGTATACCTAGTCTGAGCTGCCATGAGTGGCCAGATGGTTGTGGTTTGTTCATTCCCTCTTGGTGGCCACAAAGCAGGGCTTCCCAGGATTGCGTTATTCTCCCTCTGAGCCAAGGAGAGAGTGCTCAGGCCTGCAGGGGAGTGAGACAGAGCCCCAAATACTTGCTGAAAGTGCCAATATTTTTAGAAGCTCCCTATCTTTTCTTGACTATAAAATATACAAATTATAAACACCATCATATATTCACATTTATTTTAGTATGTAAAAGCAATTAGTTTGTTTGTTATGTAGTAAAATTATGGCTTCTGGGAATTCCATCGGGGTGAACCCGTGAATCTGTATCCTGGACATACTTGCAATGCGTATCAGCCTGTAGTCACTTTTGCTTAGGTTAAGGGTCTGGCCATCTGAGCACAGTTGGTTCTCTGTGTACGGTCTTTTCACTTGTCATCCCTTTTTTAGGGAAACCCTCCTTGGGGTTACAACATTTAACATGCTGCCTACAAAATGTGTTGGGTGTGTGCCCTCTTTCTTGTTGGCATTGTTAGATTCTACTCATTGTATTCAAAATGTCATATTCCATTCCAGGAGATACCACAGTGGGAGAGGCAACATGACATAGAGTGCATTTTAGGAGGCTGAAGCAGGAATTGAGTTCTACTTTGCTTTAGTGTTCATGCGTTTGACCAGGGGACAGTCTTTTCTTGAAAACCCAGGACAGCAAAGTCTCCAGATAGTCATCTAGTTTTAACTCCCAGCAGGATAAAAGCATTTCTAATACACAGTTGTTTATCTTTTAAATTTTGTCATCTTTCTGATCCATAACTTCTACTTTTACATTATATATCCACAGAAGTTATAACTTCTTATAACAAATGCTGTTACAGCTCAAATCTCTGCATAATAAAGCAATTGCTAAAGCCCTGTGCAGTGACCCAGTTCAGGCGGTATCGTGTATATAAAATTCCACAGCGATTTAAAAAAATCATTCTGGTTTGAATTATTTTATTAACTCCACATTACAACTTAATTGTATGGTTAGGTAACAACTTTAAAGCAGTTAAGCCAAAACCCACACAGCCACACCTGAATATACCAGTCTCAGGGAGATACCAGCTAGCTATATTGATGCACCCTGTTCTAGCACAACCCTCTGCTCCTCAGGAGAAGGAGAAGGGCAGGACCATTGGAAGAGTTAGGGACCTACGGCCCCCTTCTGTCATGTCTGTGTCTGCACAGATCTTTCCAAAGAGTAGATTATTGGCTTAGTGTTAACCTGGAGGAATATTTCTAGTTGGGGTGATGCAGAGCCCTGTCCTCAGAACTGTCTGGTTCACGATTTTTATCAACGACTTTGATGAAGACATGTTTATCAAACTGGCAGTTGACGCAAGGCTGGGAGGATAGCTAATGTGATTAGTGACTTGATCTTGAGTCAAGAAAATCATGATCGTCTAAACGGATGCGCCAGAAATAACAGGGTGAAAAATAGTAAAGTTAAATATGAAGCCTTCAAATTAGGTTTAAAAAATTAATTGCACAACTCCAGAGTGGAAAGAAGTGGAGGATGTAATTTGTCACAGATTCAATATGAGTTAACTTATAATAAGGCTGTTGAAAAATGCAGGCAATATTATAGAAGTACATATACAGCTCAAAAAAAGTAAGAACATGGCGCAGAACGCATCTGGTTTATTGTATCCGGTGTTTCTTTTCTCTTCCTGACCTGAGATATACTAAAATTCAAAGATTACCTAATGGCATACCTGTTTTAGTAAGTTAAGTGCAAATATTCTAACTGCAAGTTGAGATAGGTTGAGACATGTGACTTTTGGATAAACTCTTTGAGGTAAGAATGACGGTTTCAAGCACATTTTGGGAAATTGTCAAAGATCTGGAGTAAGTCCTGCCCTTTGCTATCTCCTTCTTGCCTCTCTGCCACTCTGTCCCCTTCCCTCAAATAAAAACTTCTGCTACCACTGTCACTTAAAGCAAAGCTACCAAATAGGTGGCTTCTTTTCTGACTGAGTTGCCTGCAATCTTTTATCCTTCCTCCTTCCTCCTAGGTTTAACTGCATGGTGAATTTATAGTGTCATAATGGATGTCTCTTTAAAGCAGGATTCTGCAGGATCTATAGAAGACTAAAAATGAAAACAACATCGAGTGTGTATGAGTGTGTGTATGTGCACACGCATACGTGCATTTGTGCATGTGCTAGTCTGTTGGTCGAAGCCATTTTGCAAAATTAAAAATGAAAGCACTCTTTAAAACAGTCTTTGCAGTTAGCCTGCAGCACAGTGTTCACTGGCAGCAGGAAAAGGCAGTGAGTCCTTTATGCACGTCTTACACCTCCCTTTCAACTCCCTGTCTCTCCCCGCTGGAAAGAGAAATATTCTGGCACAAGCATCTTCTCGTCTCGGTTCAGAACGGGTACCACCTGCCTCCAGAGCCCAGGGGAGCCCTCCGTGTGTTCCTGCCCAGGCACACCACATGGAAATGTGGACACAGTGCCAGGCGGACGTGTTAATAGGCAGGGAAGGGGGAGGGGATGTGTAAAGCACTGCAAAGCTTTTAGCCACAGCCACCTACTTATTAGCTAGTTAAGGCTGCCCATGGTGTTGTGAAGGGAGAGTGAAGACATGGGGCACATTGCAAGCTGTCCATTGGACACAGGGCAAGTTGTAATTACTACCACAGTTTCTTTTCTTTTGTCGTTTTTCTGGATCTGCCTCAGTTCATTGTTCTTAGACTTGGGAAGGGGAGAAGCTGTCTCCAGCCATTTGTTACAAGTAGTCTAGAATCTGTGCCCATTAAGTTGACTCTTTGAAAGAAAACAACAATTTGATGCCATTTTCTATCCCGAGGCCCTTGTCCTTTAGAGTCACAGTCCTATTTATTTATTGCTTGCATTTGGCATGCACAGCTTCAAGAGAATTTCCTTTTAAATTTCTCACTGGTCGTTTGAGCTTATCCAGCCTTTCCCTGGGAATTTGGGGTGTCAGCATGCATTCTGACAGGGATACTTAGGCGGATTGGAATGGCAGGCTGTTAAAAAGACCCCCCTTGCTTCCAGATCCACTCTCGTGGTCTGCTCTGTGATGCTGTATTTTCACACGTGGAGACGCAGCTCTTAGGATGGCTTCTTGCTCCTCCCTAAGTATCTGTGGATATGCTTGAGGACTGTCCTCGTAAGTTCCTTCTCAGCATGAATCGGTTCATCAGAGGCTTTCTTGAAGGAAGGTCGTACCAGAGTGGGGACTGGGTCTCATGAAACGGAGAGGAAAGAAGCCGAGGAAACATGCTTCCTCTTTCTTAGAAACCTCAGGTTTTTATTGGATAAGTAAATGGTAATATCTATCTCATAGGATTGCCAGCTTACATCTTTTTTTTTTTGAATCAGATGGAAAATAAATAAATGCCACATTTCAAAAAGTCTAGGAAGCACAATCCCTCCTCACATTTTTATATTTCTGGTATCAGTATTTGATATCAGTACAATCCATATTATCTTTCAATTATTTTGGCAGAATTATTTTTTTCTAGTGGTAAATTACACAGCATCTTATTATCTCTGATTTGATGCAATATGGTTTAACTGACCAGGACTGTTGCTGGATTAAATGAAGTAAGGTGAGGCATGCGGAACTCTACAAATGCCCACTTAATGTTTTTGAGAGTGGGCCCTTTTTCCTGAGGTTCATTAATGGAGAGCATAAACATGGAGAGAGACTTGGAATCCTGACCTCTTAGTGGATTTCTAGGGATGCTCTTGTCCTTCTTTGCTTCCTCCAGGTATTGAACACTCGAATGCCAGGTGGTGTGCTAGGTACAAGCTTCCTGGAAGTGAAGGACACCCTTATCCCCAGGGAGGTGAGAGTCTAGTGGAGACAGACAGAGCAGCACCCATTTGAAAATCACTGTGATGAGCACTGCAAGGTGCTGGGGAAGCACAGAGAAAAAAACCTCAGCTCAGTTGACGTGGGGCTGGGTAGGAAAAGCTTCAAGGAGGGGGCCACTGGGCTGAGTCCTAAAGGACAATGATGGATTAGCTAGGAAAGTTCAGAGTCAGCACTTTCCAGAAATTACAGTTGGGAAAATCGTGCATGTTCTCATTTGTAAAGAAGCCTGCCTTGGGTGTACCTGTGTTTCCTCCTCATGACCCAGCTCTGGTTTCTGCCACAGCTGCATTGGAAGGAATTGCTGGAGCTCTGACTGACCACTGCTGCCAGGGCCCACAAGGAGCCATACGCACATCTATCCACCTCTGCCTGGGACTTCTCCAGCTCTGTAGGCACTCCTTGGGTCCATGTACAAGAGCATTATGGAATGGCAGCCCTCAAATAAGGAGGGATGGGAGCTGGTGGATAGATACCCCAAACTGCTGGGTTCTCCTTCAAGCTGACAATTTCTAAAAGTATTCAGTGCAGTGGATACTATTGCTCACAGTAGCAATCTCAAAACACACCTTTATCGTAGCTTTTCTCCTTTTATCACTCCCCCTGCTCCTGCACTCTATCTTTATGTGATCAATTCCCAAAAGACCCACCTACAACAAAGTCCTTGTCTTTGGCTCTGCTTTTGGAGCAACCCAAAGTAATTCAGTATTGACTTTTTTTCACAGTACTAACTTAAAGCTTATATTAGGCCAGGCCTGGTGGCTCATGGCTATAATCCCAGGCCAAGGCAGGCGGGTCACCTGAGGTCACGAGGTCAAGATCAGCCTGGCCAACATGACAAAACCCTGTCTTACTAAAAATACAAAAATTAACCAAGCTTGATTGTACATACCTGTAGTCCCAGCTACTCAGGAAGCTGAGGCAAGAGCATTGCCTGAACCCAGGAGGCAGAGGTTGCAGTGAGCCAAAATTGAGTCATTGTACTCCAGCCTGGGTGACAGAGTGAGACTCTGTCTCAAAAAATAAATAAATAAATAAATAATAAAAATGAATAAATAAAGCTTGTGTTAAGGAGACTTAGAATATGGTATAAAACTGGCTCAACAAAGGTAGCCCAAGAGATGGAGATGAAGAAGAGGATGAGCAGGTGAGGGGGGGCATTAAGACAAAGACAACCAGAGCTTGTGGATAGAAGGTATAGCTGTACATGCATTTCTAAGCCTGAAGTGGTTCATGGAGTAATTTGAACGGATTCAGGGCCTGCCACCAACACCAGAATACTCCAGGGGAAAAAGGAGACTTGGAAGTTTGAAATGCCCAGTAAAACTTACAGGCAATAGCTACTGAGGAGGCTGAGGCTAGAGGATTGCTTGAACCCAGGAGTTTGAGGCTGCAGTGAGCTAGAATCATGCCACTGCACTCCACCCTGGGCAACAGAATGAGTGAGACCCTGTCTCTAAAAGTAAACAAAAACAAAAGTGAAAAACGTTCAGGCAAACACATAAATAAGTGATTCCATTATTTCTGGATGGGCCAAGGGGGACATACAGAAGGCAGTGTTCCAAAAGTAATCATAATGGTTGAGTTGAATTCATTATGCTGTGAAGGAATTATCTGGTAATGGTTATGTGGCATTGGTGCATTACCAATCAGAAGTTAGAAGGAAATCATGATCTTCCTCATCATGTATTTGCGTCTAATCAGAATCGTGTGAATATTAGGTTTTAGGTGGCAACACAGTCCATTAGAGCTTGCAGTGATGATGGGAATGTTCCATATCTGTGCTGTCCAGTATGGTAGCCACTAACCACATGTGACTGGTGAACTTGAGTTCCAATTGAGTGTAACTGAGGAACTGCGTTTTAAGATTACTTAGTTTTAATTAGTATAAACTGAAATAGCCACTGACTGCTTTATTGGACAGTGAAGTTTAGAGCATAAGGAAAAGATACAAAATACTGAAGTCTCACGTGTAACCTCTGGGAAACCTGGGGACAGTCAGTGGTCCCAGGGTGAAAAAGAAAAGGATAGTTTGCTTTACTCTGCAAGCCCCAGAAGGTCCTCACATCCCAGGAATCACAGGAGTGGCCTGGAGGGTGTGTCAGAGAGAAACCTCCTAGCTGGATTGAAGGGCACAGTGAGTTTCCAAAGGGACTCTGTTGTTGCTGAGAGAATGGTATCCTTAGTGCGTGCAGCTGAAGGCCAGGCAGACGGGGGCACAGCTGTTCACCTCTCTGAGGGGGCCTGGACTCCTGGGGCTGTGTTTGTGCTAGTTTTCAGGAACCCCTGTGAAAAAGCCAGATTAGACACTGTGGGTGTTCTGGAGACCTGAAGAGGCCCCGGAGGAGCCCTCCCTGGGCACTCAGTTGGTGGAGAGGAGAGAGGCTCTTCCTCCCAAAGAGGGAGAAAGCCCATGGCCTTAGCTATTCTGCTTGAATTAGTTGAACTTATTGGCTACTCCTGTGACCCTGGTACATGCACCATTTTTTTCAGCTTCTACAGAAATTTTGTTTCATGGCCAAGTCAGTGGACTCGGAGCTGCCTCTCCTTTGATGTAGCATTGAGTGTGGTGTCTCACTTTTCTCCTTTGTAAAATGGGCATACTTTGCTCATGAGATTGTTTTAAATAAGACATGAGATAATGAATGCAAATGCAGTTTGTAAATGTTAAGTGTTGTTTTGGAGGCTGACTGTACAAAACTTAATGAGGGCATACCTTGGTCAGCATTTTTTGCCTTCTCTTAGGCTTGCTTGATCCCTTAAATACTCTAATGGGAAATAGGAAACTTCTCACATGATGCAGTTCTTAACGTTGTCTTCATACTGTTAAGATTTAAAGTGGGGGGGACTGGGCTTGAAATCCTTTTTCCTGGGGGGCAGTGACTGTGGGGCTAAGAGTATAGCTCTCAGGCCGGGGGCCGCAGACTTTCTCTGTAAAGAGCCTGATAGTAAATACTTTAGGCTTCGTAGGCTTTATACTGTCTCTGTTGTATCTTTGTCTTTTTTTAGATCTTTTAACAAATGTAAAAAACATTTTTTTGCTCAAGACCATCCAAAACAAGCTACTGGACACATTTGACCTGCAGCTTCGGTTTGTCAACTCCTGCTCTAGAGTGCCCTGTCCTGCAGGGTGGCCATGAGCCGCACATGGCTGTGTACATCCAAATGAATTAGAATTCGGTACCACTGAGATTTCAGTTCCTTGGCTGGCCACATTCCAAGTGCCCACTAGCCACATGTGGCTGGTGCCTACTGAACTGGGCTGCACAGACACAGAACATTTCCCGCACTCAGGAAGTTCCGTCGGGCAGCCCTGCTCCAGAATTAGGTGGAATCCAACTTTGCCACTGCTAACCTTGGGGACTTAGACTAGTTATTCATTATTTCTGAACTTCTTTTCCCTGCAACTATAACGTGGAAATTATAGCATTACCTCTCTCAAGGATATGGCAAGGATTTAATGAATATAAAGTGCTTAGCACAGGGCCATTCACACTC
The DNA here is from genome assembly GCF_000001405.40 of Homo sapiens. Lineage (NCBI taxonomy): Eukaryota > Metazoa > Chordata > Mammalia > Primates > Hominidae > Homo > Homo sapiens. Next base: position 5,486,148 of record NC_000006.12, read on the forward strand.
AGTAAATGTTAGCTATTAATAGAGAAACAGATGCATTTCTGTTACTACTCATTTTAGTAAAGCTTAACTTTTTATATATTATATATTTTTATATTTGGAAAAGGGATTATCATCCTCACTACAGGACACCTGGGAAGTCAGAGATGAGGTTTTGGTTTTAGTCTCAGTAGTTGACCAGAGAAAGGGAAGTGTTTCCCTGAGCCCCAAACCCTGTTTCCACGCAGAACAGGTCTGTTCTTGTTATGACTTGTTTTTATTTTAGCCTTCTATTCAGGTGAGTTCTCACTCTGTGGTAATTTCATGAAAAATTTGTGGTAAATCTTTGTTCAGCTTAGTGGTGGGGTTAGAGATAAAAGTTATCTCACAGGGGAGAAGTCTCCACCGTCAGAACTTCTGAGTAAATGATTGCTTTCCCTTTGCTTGTGAGGAGGGATAGCCAGTGCTGTATTGATAAGCTTCTCTTTCAATACTAGTATATTTTGTTGCTGAACAACAGGACTTTTAAAATATATTGTTAATGAGCCAAATGTGATGCCAGGAGGTCAGCATGTTGAGGTGTGGACTTAAGCTTTGCATTGCTTTCCTTCATCCCCCGTGGTCAGCTGTCAGCCACGTTTCCATCATGGGAATGCATGCACAGGCCACAAGGAGTTAATCCTTCTGTCCTTCCAAGCAAAATGATCTACCTCTGTCTTCTGTGAAGAGAGATCATGGTTTTTAAAAGCTAATATGATAATGGCAGTATTATTAGCAATCTCAAATGAATCTTTGATCAGTTGAATTGTTTGATTTACCTACTCATTCATCAGATTTTTTGTGCCGTGAACATCACACAGAATCCTAGAAGGGCACCGTCACTGACAGAAATGAAGCTGGTTGGATATTGGCTGCTCATGTCCAGGGGTATTGATGATTCTTTCAAATAAATCTCAAAGTAAGGTATGCATAAAAAGATAACACTCAGCTGATATAACATTGCTTATACAGAGAAGGTTTTTCATTTGTTTGTCTTTCAGTTTCCACATCCAGGTGTTGTGCTGTTTCCCTGGACCTCCGGGTTCATCACACAGCCTCTGGTGCACCTACCTGGGTGCCAACGTTGTAGGAAGAAGCTGTCTGCACTGACAGGCTTGTGGAGGCGAGCTAAACTCCATAACCCCATGACTGTACATCCTGAAGCAGAGTTAGGGAGAACCAGTCTCCAATGACCACTGACAAAAACAGAATCAAAGTGATAATAGAACCAACCAGCACTACAATTCCTAACATATAGTGTGCACTCAGCAACCATGTGGCAGGTACCAAGGTCAAAAACATACCTCAATGATATGTTTTTATGTTTAATACCTACAACAGCCGTGTGTATTTGGCACTATCGTTGCTATTCCCATGTTACCCATTACAGAGTGGAGGCCTAGAGAAGATAATTTGCCTGAAGTCGCACGTTTCAGTCAGTGGCAGAGCCAGATTCAACCCTAGCTGGTCTGAGGGCAGATTCTGTGGTCTCCCCAACACGCATGGGTTCTCTTTTTGTCTCTGCACTCACTGACATCTGATGTAGGTACGTGGCTTTAATACTCAGGGCCTCCTCTGGAAAATGAATGGTTTGACCAGACTGCTCCAAAGACCTTTGGTCATTGACATACCGTGGTTTTTTTAGATCCTGCAGTCATCAGACCCCTCAGTGGCTTTACTTGCTTACGTCACCTGGTCTCCATGAGGACACATGCTCCATGTGTGTGGCATGTGGAAAGGCTCAGTAAGCATTGATGAGCAGACTGACTTCCATATTATCCTGTGTTGTAGGGGCATGGAAGCTGGACTCTGGGGCTTATTCTGGAGAATATTCTCTCCTTGAAGCAGTGTTCTTTGCTTGAAGATTATTTCTTTTGGATTTTACTCTTCATCAGAAAGTAGATGTTATGATCAGCTGTGTCCTTGGATAAATGTGTTTTCTCCTGTGCCCTGGAGTTCATCTTTTGCTTTCGTGTTAAGCCTAGACCCTTTTTTACCTCTGTCTCTCTGAATCTTCCCTAACTTGATCCCAACTTTCCCCTAACAGTAGTGATTGGAATGCTCAAACTTCAAGGAAAAAAGTACAGACATACATTAGTGATAATGTTCAAAAGGCTATCGTTAGTCAGATTGTAATTCTGTTCCTTGTGGAGAACTTTTTCACTGGTTCTATATATATGAAGTACTCAGGCTTCCACCAGTTCTATCAGAGCTGAAGGATTTAGTAGGGTCAATATCTACTATTGCACTGCCTAAATATTTCTAATCTAATGTACTTATATTTGATTCCATGGACAGAATTATTTGCTCTGTACTAATATTTGGCCATATATGAAGTCATCATTACAATGTGTTCATATTCACCTGTTCATGCTCAAATGAATAATTTTACAGTACAGTGCTGAAGAAAATATTGTAGATTTTTGTTTATTTGCTGTAGATCTCTTTTGTGAAAGAGAATGGGTTTAATGGAGCATAAGAGTTTAGTTGGGACTTGTTGAATTTGAGGTGCCTCTTAGAAATCTCGTGTCTTTGCAGAACTTCAGCCATTATCTTTGGTAAAATCACCCACCTAACTTCTCTTTCAGTCTCTGGCTTTTATTTGGCTTTTAAATACTTCATACTCCGCATATCTAAATCTGAATCCATCATTTCTTCCTGCTTTCCTCAGACACACACATGTACATGCCTGTTTCTTTTTCAGGTGTTCGGATTTCTTTTAATGTTTTCAGTCAATTCATGTAGTAAATATTTATTGTGCTCTTACTGTGTCCCAGGTACATTTCTAGGCACTGGGTCTATAGCAGTGAATAAAACAGGCCAAAATTCTACCTTTCTGGAGCTTACAGTATGGTGGGGGTAGGCAATCCACAAGGAAAATGAGTAAATTATATATCTAGTGTCATCAGGTCATAAATGATAGAGTGAAAATGAATCAGGGAAGGAGAATAGGAAATTCTGAGTGTGGGAGTGGGGGCAGGGGTATTTCAGTTTAAAATAGGACAGTCAGGCTGGGTGCGGTGGCTCACACCTATAATCTGAGCACTTTGGGAGGCTGAGGTGGACGGATCACTTGAGATCAGGAGTTTGAGACTAGCATGGCCAACATAGTGAAACGCCGTCTCTGCTAAAAGTACAAAAAATAGCCAGGCGTGATGGTGCACGCCTGTAGGCCCAGCTACTTGGGAGGCTGAGGAACTGGAATCACTTGAACCTGGGAGGCAGAGGTTGCAGTGAGCTGAGATGGCACCACTGCACTCCAGCCTGGGTGACAGAATGAAACTCCATCTCAAAAAATAAAATAAAATAAGACAATCATCAGATGCCTCACTGGGAAGGTGACATTTGATGTTTCAATGTTATCATGACATTTGAATTTCTCCTTTGATTCTCTTTCATCTCCAGTCAGTTGACAAATTCAGTCAGTTCAACCCTTGTAATATGCTTCCATCTCTTTCCTTCTCTCTACGCACGACGCCATTACTTCAGTTCTGGGCTTTATCACTCTTTCCTGTACAGGCATATTAGTCTTCAGATAGGCCTACCAGTCACTAGTCTCTTTTGAATTTGATTTTTGATTATTAATTGCTGGTTATTATTATAGAAAGTTTTTGCATTTTATGTATAGTGAACTTACGTTGGAATAAATAGGTTATGAAAATTTTATAAAATTGTAATAAATTGCCATAGTTTTCTTTGAAGTTGAAAAGCATATAATGCCATGCACATAATAATATTTTTTATTACGGTATTATTTACGTAAAATAAAAGTCTTTCATTTCATGTGCAATTTGATGAACTTCAGTAAGTATATAGAGTCGCGTAGGCACAATATCAAGATACAGAGAGTTCTCTCACCCTAAAAAGCCTCCTTGTGGCCCTTTCGGTTGACCTTTCTCTTCATCCCCAAACCCAAGCAATCACTGATTTTCTTTTGTCATTATGGTTTGCCTTTTCTAGAATGTCATATATATGGACTTGGATAATACTTAGATGTTTGTGTTTGCTTTCTTTAACTTTACAAAGTATTTCTGAGGTTCATCCATGTTGCATGTATTAATATTTTGTTCTTTGTAATTGCTAAGTAGCATTCTATTGTGTAGATATATCACAGTTTGTTTATCCATTAATCAGCTGATGGACGTTTGGATTGCTTCCAGTTTGGGGCTGTTGTGTATTAATGCTGCTGTGAGCATTCATGGACACATCTTTGTCTGCATAATGTGTTCATTTCTCTTGTTTCAATACTTAGAACTGGGAGTGAAGGGTCATATAGGGCTGTATATTTACTTTTCTAAAATATTGTTAATAGTATTTTTTAAAGCAACTGTACCATTTTGTATTCCCACCAGCCTGCAAGATGGCCCCCAGTGATCGCTGCTTCCTTGGGCTTGTGCCAGTAATACAGTCTCTTCCCATATTTTGTCAGCATGGGTTTGTGTGATCAGTAGAGTATAGCAAAAGAGGTGGTACATCACTTCTGAGCTTAGGTTGTAAAATACACTTTAGCTTTCATCTTGGTTGGTTATTTATGCTCTCTTGAATCATTTGCTTTGTTGGGGAAGCCAGGTGCTGTATTGTGAGCAGCCTTATGCAGAGACCCACATAGTGAGGAACTGAGACCTCTGGCCAACAGCCAGTGAGAAACTGGTACTGCCTACTCACAGCTATGTGAGTGAGCTTGGAAGCAGATATCCAACCAGTTATACCTCCAGATGCCTGCAGCCTCAGGGGACCTCTTAATTGCAACCTCAAGAGAGACCTGGAAAGCTACTCAAGTAAACTGCTCTTGGATTCCTGAGCATCAGAAACTGTGTGAGATAATTAATGTTTGTTGTTTTAAGCTTCAAAGTTTGGGGATAATTTGTTTACACATCAATAGATAAGGAATACAAGGAGAGTTCCATCTTCTCCATACCCTCAGCAACATTTTATATTGTTGGTTCTCTTTAGCGATTCTAGTAGTTATGTGATGGCACTTACTGTGTTTTTGTTTTGCATTTCTCTGTTGACTCATGATGTTGAGCCTATATTCATGTTTTTGATGGCTATTTGTGTATCTTCTCTTGTGAAGGGTTTGTCCAAATCTTTTGCCCATTTAAAAAATTGAGTCATTTTTATGTTTTCATTTTGTGTTTTCTTCCCTGAAAATTTGTTGCCCCCATCTCTATAAGAGATGAGAATCCTTACCAGATGCAGCTACCATAATTGTTGCTGTGCAGAATTAAGTAAGTCTTGCGGTAACTTTCTAGCAGCATTTCGATCATACTTAGCTTTAAGTTCTCCATCCCCTGCATTTTCCTAAAGTGACGTCGAGTTAAGAATCATGCGCCATTGATGGTAATCCTCCAGCCTGCACTCAAAACGTTTTCCGTATCATTAATCACTTCCCTGTCTCTTGCCAGTTACTGAGGGTTCCATAAACACAGTGCTTCCCCATGCTGCAGGAGTCCTTCCCCGAAAGATATGAGCGTTTCTTCTTCTGCATATGCCATAGCACATTCGTCATTTTCTTACATGTTCATATTTTATAGTCATTGCTAATTTTTGTTTCCATTGTAATCTTACCCTCTTTCTCGCTAGTCCCTTTAACACCCACTGCTTCTGTACTCACCAGATATCACAGGCTACTGCCACTCTTGTGACACCTCACATGTAAGTATAAAGCACAATGAATTCCATGAAAATCATATCCAGTCAAATTAGCAGAATTTTCATAACACCTACCTCACGGTGCTATTGTAAAGATTTTTTTTTTTTCCTGGTATGTACATTCTTTTTGAGGTTAGAGATCTCCTTTTACAGGACTTAGTATCTAACAAATTCAGTAACCAAACTTCTTGACCTCCCCAATATTAGATCACTAAATGTGCAAAAGAACTACCGTTATCTAGGTCAATAAAAACTACTCATTTTCTATGAAACGGTATGTGCATAGATTTTAAAGCTGTGAAAATGCAATAAAGAGCACAACACATTTTGGTCACTTAATTAAATGACTTTTAATAAAGTAGTAGTAGTTTAAGTTTCAACTACCAAACAACACTTTGAATGGTGAAAACACAGATAGTATATTGTCATATTTGAACGCTTTTCTTTAAAAACATAATTCTAATTTGTGTATATATTACAAAACAGCCTTACAGAAAGAAGTGAGATCTTTCTACAGCACTTAAGATAACTCAATACAGGACTGATTTATTAAGATAGTGTATATTCGACTTTTCTAGCTCAAGAGATGAGTTAAAGGATAAACTCTGAAAAAGTAAAATGTATTATGTAAACATTGATAAAATATTACTATTTATTGCTGGTTTTATTTAAATGGGCATTTCTTCACAGCTTTATCTTAAGTACAGATTTAAAATTCTACCAGCAATATAATCATGTCAGCAAATATTTATTGAGTATCTGCTATGTATTAAGCATTGTACTAGGTCTGTAAATGCCAATGTTGGCAGTTGGCATATTTTCTATGAACTTTATTTTGTATTCAACAAGTATTTATCGAGCCCCTACCATGTTCTGGGCCTAGTATTGGCAGTGAATATATGAAAATGAGTAAGCTGAGAATCTCATATTCCAGGGAGTCCCAGTTGCAGAGGCTGATGTGGAGATGCACCACTGTGCCCGGCTTTCCCTGCAATCTTTTGTTTATGGAATTTGCAGAGTGGCTAGAGTGTATATAGCCTTACACTCTGCAGACCTTGCTCCTGCCCTGCCACCCACCACTTTAGGGTTTCCAATGTTATAAGCATGCCCTTGCGGGCTGGAGCTGATGTTTGCCTCTGCTTTTCCTGTAATATGGTCTCCATGGCTCACAGAGGCATCTACACATTTTTTTCCTTTGGATTGATTTTTTCTGCTATGGCCCTGTATTCTGTGTACTTATTTAGGAATGAGCCGCTTATTGGCCGGTGCCTGTAATCCCAGCTACTTGGGAGGCTGAGGCAGGAGAATTGCTTGAACCTGGAAGGTGGAGGTTGTAGTGAGCCGAGATCATGCCATTGCACTCCAGCCTGGGTGACAAGAGGGAGACTGTGTCTCAAAAAAAAAAAAAAAAAAAGAAAAAGAAAGAAATGAGCCACATATTGCACTATGTTGCTCTCTCATTACTTAACTGTTGGACAGTTGCTTTTCATTCTCATTTATTCCTCTTTTCTCCACTTAGAATTTAACATTCTAGAAGGTAGGGATCACATGTCTCTTAGTACAGTGCTCAGTGCAGAGCAACACTTAAGAAATACTGCTTTAAATGAAAGAAGGGTCTGACAAAACATTGATAGAACAAATGTCTTTTGATGTGTGGCTAGATGAAGACTGCAGTGTATCGACCTCCAAGAGGAATGGAAAGTCAAAGTCGCAGTCTCTATAGGGGACCTTATGTCTACCCCGGACCACCAAGCTGGGACTGGAGATCTAACTTCTAGCTGTATTGCCAACTAGCTCTGCGACATTGGACAGGTGACTTGATGGCTCTTAGACTGTTTCCTCATTTATAAAATGGGAGCAGTAGTATTAGCTATTCACGGAGTTGTTTTGAGGATTGAAAGACATGATGCACAGAAAGCACCCGGAATGAATGAAGGTCTCTTACATAGTAGGTGCTCACAAACGTTTAACAAATTATTTATGTTTTTCTCATAAAGCACTACAGATGTAATGACAGTTCAATGACTTTATAAAGTACAACATGCTGCACAAATATTTTACTGTCATTTGCTTTTATTTTGTCTCTTGTGTTAATGGCATACCCCTCTATATTATGAAAATACCAGTTTGGTTTAAAGACACAGTGGACAGTGTCATGTGATACAATGACAGTGAGTGCCAGCGCTATTTCAGCAGCAAGAATTATTGGAGTTCCTGTCAGAAGTTCATCTTGGGCCACTATTGGGGCCTTTCAATACTCCTTACGTTGTTTTTCTCTAGCTCTTGTTTTCTGTTTCCTCCTTTTTTTTTTCTTTTTTTTTTTTTGTGGTGTCAAGTAGGCTTTGTGAGGATGGTTTAAAATGTAGGGTATATACTCAGAGTTTAAATAGTCAGTGACTACTTGTTTGAGTCAGGTTTGGTTTTAAAAAGTAAAATTCTATGTTTTAGAACCATAATACCTTCAAAGAAAGCAGCAGCCCTGGTGATCATACCATCCACCCATCCTTTAGTTCACAAAGAAGGCGGAGAACGCTCAGGAGGCCTGCCAAGCTCCTGTAGCCGCAGGACTGGAATCCGGGTCTGTACTGGCTGCGGCTTCACACTGCCTCGCTTCTCAGCGGGCTTTGAAACTCTGCGTGTTTAGGTGTCCTTGATAGGTTCTTATTCTTTTTGTATCTTTCTATTGCTAGTAAGAGCAAATTTTCTGTTTGCACTGTAGAGACTTATTTCCTACATTTTGGGAAGGTGGTCCTCCTGTGGAAGGGCAAACTCCATTATTAGGTTCATGCCCACTAATTCTCTTCTCTCTCTTCCTACTACCCATCCTTTCCACTTGGAGTATTCTCTTCTGTTGTTTCCTTCACATCTCATCCTTCTTTATCATTCCCATGTCTCCCTTGCTGTATTGCCTGCACAAGTTCACATGTTTGAGGAACGAAACTTCAAACATAGTCTGTACCAAGAGGCTTTATTATTTTCTTTTTCCTCTCTCCCCCTTTTCCCCTAGAGCTAGTTCAAGGTGTCCTAATGGTCTAAAATGTCAAAAGAAAACTAGATGAGGAAAAAGCAATCGAAAATAACTCTATTACAAGCTTCCTTATAGTTCAGATTCATCCCTTTCTTTTTGACCCCTTTAAACAAATGAACATGTTGGCCTATTTCAGGGGTAATTGCTCTTCTCTTCAGAATACACCTCCTAAAATGACTGCTGTGTGAGGTTGAACATTGTGGGTGACGAATGTCTGCCAGAGCAGAGAACTTTGTTGTTTTCCCTCCTTCCCTCTCATTGCCTTCATTTTCTTCCCTTTTAGATAATAAAATCCTTTTCCAATTATAGAAACTGTAGAGGTCAAAATGTGACTCAGGTTAAACCCTGTGAAAACTGTAGCCGCCTGAAATTATAATGCACATTTTTGCTTTTGAGCCAAGGTAGTGTGCCAGCTGGAAGATGTAAATTTGTCATCATTTTCTGCCTTTGTTTCATCTTTTCTTTCCTTTTCTACATCGTCGTAATTCTCAAACTTTATTGTTTTTCTCTGTTATTCTCTCCCCTTGGTAAACCCCTGTGCTCCCAGTGGAGCCAGAAGAAATTGTACATGGGGCTTTGATATTTTGCCAACTGTTTTCTATAATTAAAAGTGAATTGGAAATGGGAACACTTCCTCTGTTCCACCGATGCTTCTGGGGTCTAGTCTAATAGAAACATGGAAAGGTGCAAAAAAAGAATCTGGAGCTAGGAAGGGAAAATGGAAGCTTGCAACTCAGGCTAAGGAGTTCCTAATGGAACATCAGCCCTTTAAGCCTTCGGGTTTTCTGTTCTAAATTTGCTCTTTTCTTTGTGTCAGATCATTAGAAAGTTTTATCCAAAATTAAACCAGTAATACTGAGGTGGTAGCTCATAGAGCTTGTGATTGGCTTGATCCATGCTAATTATCTTCTCAGTTGAAGTAATCAAAGGCAGAGACCATAACAGAACAATGTGGACTCTGAGAGACTGGTATTTAAATTCTCATGATTTAAGCAGAAATAGTAAATAGATTACAATTTGTGTATCAGGCCTAATTAGTCCCTAGTGCAGGGCTGATGGACCATGATCCTATAAAATATTCAGTATCACGATGCCCTGCCTGAGCAGCTAACCAGCCCTTCACTGTCTGAATATGGAAGAAAGCTTGTCTTGTTAAAATCATCTCAAATTACTATGACCTGCTTTTCCCCTAGGATCCCTGCACAACTCTCCCTGACTCCCCACCCCCAGCTAATTCTTCTACTTTCTTCCCGATTACTACGGCCATATAAAACAATATATGCCCTTTTCTTCTTATCTTTTTTTTGGTTGGGGGTGGAAGGAGGGTAATACTCCATTGAGTACTCTGCTTTTGAATCCGTTGAATGTCTCTCTAGTTGCTCTGCACAGAGCACATTGCTTAAGTGCGCCATTTGTCACTTCTGTGTTTTTAGTTGATGACTCTAGTGTTGATACTATAGGAATCAGTATAAGATTACTTAAAATGAAGCCTTACAAGGTGTTCAGCATTCAGAATATTTTGTCATCGAGAGGGAGGAGCTTTGGGAAATTAGTGAATTTGCTCTACCTAAAAGCTTGACATCTGTGTAGAGCATACAAGAGATGAGGGTGTGCGTGCATTAACTTGCTACGGGTGCCATAACAAATACTGCAGAGTGGAGTGTTTAAGTGGCAGAAATTTATTTTCTCATAGTTCTGGAGGCTACAAATCTGACATCAAAGTGTTAGTAGGGCTGGTTTCTCCTGAGGCCTCTTTCCTTGGCTTGTAGATGGTTACTTTCTCCCTGTGTCCTCACATGGTCTTTCCCTCTGTGTGTATCTGTGTCCTAATCTCTTCTTCTTGTAAGGACATCCAAGTCAAATTGGATTAGGGCCCATCTTATGACCTCATTTTAACTAATTACCTCTTAATTACCTCTTTAAAGGCTGTATCACGTTCTGAGGTCCTGGGGGTTAGGACTTTCATATATGAAGTTTTTGTTGTTGTTGTTGTTTCTTTCTTTTTATTTAATTTTATTTTTTTAGAGGTAGAGGTCTCACTATATTGCCTAGGCTGGATTCAAACTCCTGACCTCAAGCAGTCCTCCCACCTCAGCCTCCTGAGTAGCTGGGCCTGTGTGCATGCACCTCTGCACCCAGCTGTGAATATATGTTTTGAGGGGGCATGATTCAGCCCCAAATGGGGTGAAGAAGCTCTAATCCTGTTACTGTGAACAGCATTCAATATAAAAGTAAGGCTAACTCCCTTATAGGATGGTACTGAGACTTAAATGAAATCTCGTGTATGATGATTTTGAAAACTCCAAATCCCTACTTATAAGAATGGTAGCATCGTTATCATTATTATATAAAATACAACAATACATATAATGATCATTATAATATAAAAATGATCCTGTTTGAAATGACTGAGTCCACATGAGGAAAGAGTGAGTTTGAATTGATAACTGTTCCCAGAGAAACTAGTCCATGTAGAGAAGGAAACCAAGATGTTAGGAGCAGGCCAGGGGCCAGCATCGTTGCAACTCTGTTGAGTTTGGAGCTGTTCTAAAATAGTGAATCTTTTTGCCAGGCCTGATGAGAATGAAAATCTTAATGTGGGATAAAGGACAAACTGAACAGCACCTACAATGATTGGCTGTCATGGATTAAATGTCAGAAAAATGAGTAAAAGGAACATTGGGTGTTGATTTCATTAATAATAGAAATAAAAATGTTTCAACAAACATCATTTCACACCTTCAGTTAAAAGCCTGTATTAACTGTTATCATGGTAAATAAGATATTTAACATGGAAAATGAATGCCAATGGTATCATTCAAACTTCTTATAGTTCTCTAAATATATGTAAAATATTTTCCTCAATATTGTTCTGACTGAGAGCAATAAATGTGGGTAATTTTATTATTCTTTTATTTTAAATAGAATTTTAGGAAATGTTTATTTTTAAAATGTAATCCTTTCATTTATTCTCCTCTACCCTAAATAAGTAATTCATTAACCTTTCATTGTAATAGGAGCGTGAGCATCTGAAGGCAATTAACTGTTTTACATTATCATTCATTGTGAATAAACAAATAGTTTCACCCTCTTTCCCCAGAGAGCTATAATTTAGGGATTGTGTAGCTAATTATACAACTCTAGAGCCAGTTTTGAGAGGGATAGCTATCTTCTCTGATCACATCTGCTTTCACCTACTGTGCTGGGGGCCCTGGGGAATGGAAGGGACTCTCTAGGGGTGTTTAGGACTTACATATTTGTTGAGTTAGGCGATTTGATGTTACTTGTGGTTTCATTGAATGGAATCTAGGACAGATCTTAAAGGATAAGAAATGATTAAAATTTTTTTTCATCTTTTGGTGTTCTAAATTGGAAACACATCCTCCTCTGATGGTAAAATAGTCAGTTCTGGATTATCTCAAAAGAGAAGATTATTTGAGTGGTAGAGTTTTCAGGCTCCTTATTTTTTCCTTTTATTCGTGTCACTAGGCTTTTGCTTGTTTCGTTTTTAAGAGTTATCGTTCAAGAGCATCAGCGGGGAAAGGAAATGCCAGGGTGAATCAGATCGGCCAAGTTAACCATCTGACTGTCTGATGGAGCTTATTTTACTTATCATAAAACGTAAGTGTTTCTCCTCTAGAGTTTAAGTTGCTTGAGGGAGGAATCTGTTCATCACCGTGTCTCTAACACCAGCGGAGTGACTGCACGCACCAGGTACTCAGTAGATGTTGGCTAAGTTCAATTGTTGAATTAGATTTATGATCCATGTATTTTTTTTTTGTTTTTAGTTTACACAAAAAGTAGAGTTGGCTTTATGTCACCTATGACTAACTCCTCTATACCTCCTCAAAGCAGCTGTCACTTACCACCAGCATTTAGTCACTTTTCAGATTGAATTCCTGTTTCTTTACAGCAGGATAGGAGCATGAAGAGAAGGTTAAGATATCTGAGTTAAGACGAGGGAGCTCCTTAATTGAATTGGGAAAACCTACAACATAAATTAAGCAGGATGCTAGAAATTGAAACAAGGCAGTTGCATTTCCATTGAAGCCAGTAGTGCCTTTTTTTTTCTTGAGATGGAGTCTCACTCTGTCACCCAGGCTGGAGTGCAGTGGTGCCATCTTGGCTCACTGCAACCTCCGCCTCCTGGGTTCAAGCGATTCTCCTGCCTCAGCCTCCTGAGTAGCTGGGATTACAGGCATGCACCACCACGCCCAGCAAATTTTTGTATCTTTAGCAGAGATGGGGTTTCACCATGTTGGCCAGGCTGGTCACGAAGCGGTGCCCTTTTCTTGTTAAAAGAATCTTGGGCGAGGCGTGTATCGATGAAGGCTGCATCTGACCTTTCACTGGCAGTTCACTAACTTGGTTCTGGCCAACGTGTGCCTACCCCAAGGAACCTGGGAGAGTGGACATTTTTTTCTGGATGAAGTCTTTTGGGAGTAGAAAGAAGGGAAGCAAGTCAGATAGTGTGGTGCTTCCCTAGTGGTTTTATTAGGGAGGTCCAGACACATGTTTCCTTCATGAGACGCAGACTGCACTTTAGTTCCCTTCAGTGCAGGACATGAGTGAATTAGGGCAATGCAATGAAAAGGAAAGAATGGTTAGAATAAGGTCAGAAGGTTTGATTTCTGTTTTCAGATTTAGCACTGCTTGGGTCTGTGAGCTTGGAGCAAGTCATTTAATCTCTCTGGGCCCTAACATGCTCATCCATGAGTGAGTTAAATGGATTGACAGCTAATGATTGCTGCTCCTAATTCTATGCATTTAGAAAATTCAAACTTCCCTCAAGTTCCCCGTAGAGTTCTTACCGTTTGCTGTAGTTTGAACTTCAGGATCATTGTCTCCCAATTTGCTTCCTTTGGCTTGGTGATATCATTGCCTGCAGAAATAGAAAACTGGTACAAAGCCATTTATCTAGTTCTGTGTGCCAGAATATCTTTGATGAGATCATAAGTCGTTCTTTTACTTTTTAAAACTAAGTGACTCAAATAGTAGTCACTAACTACTTAAACTTTGGGTACAGCAATGGCCTACATTTCCTGTTTCTTTTGTGTTGGTTTTCAACTGTCCCTGTATGGTTGCTGCCTTTTCAATGCCTTCTTTCTTCTCTCTGCATACATTAATACAAGGGGCATCTGAAATTTCAGCAGAAGCAAATGTCAACTGTACCAAGCTGAGGTAGCAATTCTAGGGGTGGTGTCCTTTCCAAATGTGTTGTTTTATGAAGATATAAGTTTTACATGATTCTTCGTGTCAGCAGTTTTGCCACTTGCCATCGTTTAAGAAGTCTATTGGGTATCTGATCCTGTTCTCTATTATTTCATTGTGCTGCCTCCCTCTCGCCCTCCCTCCCTCTCTCCCTAGAAAACTTTATTTTCTCTAGCTTGGGAAAATGTGTGTGGTACAGTGAGAAATTCTGGTAACTTGGGTACTGCGTTTTCTTCAGCTTCTTGAGAAAAGGCTGCTGTGGAGGCTGGGAAAGTACTCATAGAAATGCAGCTTTTCTCCCAGGCTGCAAAGAGCTGCCCATATGGTTCTGTCGAAGCAGAATGGAGACCAAATAAGACTTGAGGAGGAAGACACCACATTAGTAAGCATCTCTCCTGGATGACTGAAGGGAAATCAAGGCCAGCCACACCAGCGGAGGGTGGGGCAAGGCCAGGCGCCTCAGATGCAGCTTGCAGAGGAGAGGCCTGTGCAGTTACCTTCAGTGTTTTTCATCAGAGCAGGTAAACTGCAGGCCTGTCTGGTACCAGGTGCTGGCTAAGGAACATACCAGGGTACCATGGTTAAGGCACGGACTCTGGAGTTAGACAAACCTAGGTTTAATTGCTAAGGGAGTCAGAGTGCTTTGGTTGTAAGCTGTAGCACCAATTTTTGCTACCTTACATTTTTTTTTTTTAAAGGAGAGGATGTATTAAAATGACACTGGATAATTCACAGAACCGGTAGAAGAGTTGAAAGGATAAAGGATAAGAAGAGGGTAGTTCTGGTATTTAGGACAGCCACTTGAAGGTGGTGCCACTGGAATGACTTGGAACAAAACATTTTCTGTCCTTGTGACATTCCAGTCAAGCTTCAAATCCCCGAGAGAGAGAGAGAGAGAGAGAGAGAGAGAGAGAGAGATGCCAGGTCTGGTCTTGTTCTTGTTTTGGGAGATGGGGCTAGAAGAGGGAATGCAGTGATTAACAAACACAAGATTCATTCACCCAGAGAAAACTGGACTGTGCTTATCAAAAGAAGGGGTTAGAGTTGCTAGACAGACCAAGCCAGCAGATGTAAACATGATATGAATGAACATTGCCACTCGCCATCTAGTATCTAAACCTCAAAGAGTTTAAGTAGTATCGGTATACCTCAGCCTTGTACTAAGGTAAACAAAGGACATAAATCTAATGAAGAAATAACACCTATTTCAGAGATATGCTCACTGTGGGCGTATTGAAAAAGATATTGCCTGTAAAGCTCTTGGCATATGCTTCATGGTAAGTTCTCAACTCTTAGCTGTGTTAATTACATTTTCTTAACAGAGCCATTAACTGATAGGTGACTACACAGCTCAGTTTGCCCAGGACAGTCCCAGTTAGTGCCTTTAACCTTCCTAATTAGCATTGTCTTGGGGTTCTCATTTTTTTATTTTATTTTATTTTTATTTATTTATTTATTTTTGAGATGGATTCTTGCTCTGTTGCCCAGGCTGGAGTGCAGTGGCGTGATCTCAGCTCACTGCAACCTCCACCTCCCGGTCTAGCAATCCTCATGGCTCAGCCTCCTGAGTAGCTGGGACTACAGGCGTGAGCCACCACACCCATCTAATTTTTGTATTTTTAGTAGAGATGGGGTTTTGCCACGTTGGCCAGGCTGATCTTGAACTTCTGACCTCAAGTGGTCCGCCCGCCTCAGCCTCCCAAAGTGCTGGGATTACAGGTGTGAGCCACCACGCCCAGCTGGTTTCTCATTTTTTAAAATAAAGTATCATTACGGGTTGCATTAAAATATGCCAGAATGGGCTTGATAGACCTTTGCTTTGTCCTTTGAGCTTGCCTGCCCCTCCAGTCACATGTGAGATGCGTGTGCAGTGAGCAGAGTTCTCAGTGAAATCTAAATCTGTCCAGCAATGACGTTCTTCTCTTCTCCCAGGCCTTTCACAGTGCAGCTGAGCCAATACCTCCTTGAATGAAGCATGCAGGTGCTCTTGATAAAACAGTGTGCTGACACACCAGTGGCTGGGGCAGTTAACTCCTCCCAGTCCAGCATGGTGTGGGAGTAGTATTTGAGACTGCTACCCCAGCCAGCCTTGTGGTCTCTCAGCCAGCTGTGCCGTGGATCACTCCATAGCTTGCAAAGTGCAGGAGCCACTGGCCTTTAGTCAGATGAAACAGTGAGAATTATAGCAATTTATTCGTTAAAATATGTGTTGGAGAGAGGCTTAGCCATTATGTGTTAGAACCTATAGATGCAGAGAATAGTTTGGCATGCCCTTTCTGCAAGGGTTTGTCACATTTTATAGGGTATACATCTGAAGTTATTCATTTATTTTACTTTTTGGTAATTTTTAAAATTATTTTTCAATAAACCCTTTTGGTCGCAATTACTCTCTCCCCAAAAGCACCTTTTAAGGAAAAATGGATTACTGGATTTGTCAAGAAAGTTGATATTGAACGTGTAACCTGTCAATATTTACCATTCACATAAAAGTCAGAACAGTATCACTGACCAGATTTCTAAAAGAAAGAAATCTATTGAAGAAGGCTTCACAATTTTTAAAATTTTAAACATTTCAAAGATGAGCATGTAAGAAACACAATGCAGCATTTTTGCATATTGTTTTCAAAGAATGACTTTTCATTTAGGTGAGACAAGTAACTCTCAAGATAATTTCATTCTTTCTGGAGTTCAGGTTTTCTCGCACACATGTAAAAATGTAGGTATAGCTTTTAATATCTTGGCTCAGTTAGCAAAAGAGCTTTACAAACAGTTAAGTGATCCTGCCAATTTTATATCACAGCCATCTCATCAGATACTTCAAATAGAAAATCAGTTAATTCGAATTTTTTTTTGTTTTTTTCCATGTGATTCATGGGATAAGAGGAATGCTTTTGGAAGTTCATTTTGTCAAAGGTAACACACCTGATTGTGCGTGTGATTGTAAATCCATTCAAAAAGCTCAATGTTTATGATCAAATTATTTATTTTTGTAGTGATGATATATGAAAACTTTTATGGAGAACAATGTTTTAATAAAAACAACATCCTCACTAAATTAAGAAAAGTGTAGCAGAAATATACCTGGATTGATGGTAAGATACATGTGTATATAATTCATAATTTAAAAATTAATAAAATATATAAAAATATTTTAAGAAAATAGTAAATAAAAGATTTTATTAAAAATGGGAAGATGTAGGTCAAAAGACATGAAGTTGCAGTTATGAAGTACAAGTCTAGAAATTACAGCACAAGGACTGTGGTCAATAATATTATATCATATACTAGAAATTGCTAAGAGTAGATTTTAGGTATTCTTAACACACACACACACACACACACACACACACACAGAGAGAGAGAGAGAGAGAGAGAGAGAGATAACTGTGTGAGATGATGGCTATATTAATTTGCCTGGCTGTAGTAATCACTTCACTATACATTTGTATATTAAAACATCTTATTGCATACCGCAAGTACATATGATTTTAAAAGAAAATAAATTAATTAAAATATTTAAATAAAATATACAAGTATATAATATGAAATGTATTTTGTAAAATCATTGAGTATAGAATGTACATATAATTGATAATTGTATCCAAACGAGTTGTGATATTGTACTCTTAGAATTAGAAGCTGCCATTGTAAAAATGTACAGATATTTATATCTTTACACAGAATGATTGAACTACAGATTTTTTTCAATACTGAAGTTAAATACAAAAACACACCTCACTGTGGGAAGAACACACTTGCTCTCTTTGCCCCCGTCATTGATCAGATTTTAGAAATATGTCAGCCTTTGAAAAACTTCTTTGTATCTCACTGTAACTATGCTACACTGGTAATGAGTGTATGAATCCTTTAAATCTTGTCTGCATTTTTGCCCCAAATCAAGTGGAAATCTTAAAAGTATTCAATTACTGGAGTATCAGGAAATTCAGCATAGGCAGGTTTTAGAGACTTGCCATTATTAAAACCACAGCCTGCCAGCTAGAAGATATTGCCGTATTTCCTCACAAAAGCAGAGTAGGGAGTGACAAATTATAGGATGAGGGCCCAATGGTAGGTACACAAAATTTAATTTCAAAATTGTATAATTTTTCCTTAGAACAACTACGTTATGGAAATAATTTTTTCATGAGACTTCTGTATTTTACTGGATAAATTTTTATTCTATATCACAATGGAATGAAGTTGAAAAGGCTTATAATATTGCATCATCCACATTTGGTCAGATATTCAAAAGAATCATAAAGAGAGACAATTAATATGAGAGCTTGATCTTGCTAAAGTTTTCATTAAAGACCTATACACTGAGTGGAAGCAGAAAGATAGTTCCTTTAAAAATATTGGGAATGAAATATTTATGCTTTCCAGTAAAAAAAAAAAAAAAAAAAAAGAATTGAGAACATTTTCCTTTGGTAGGATTTGCTCTGAGCTTATCACTTACCCTTAGGTGTTTTCAAAAATTAAAATAGTGTGGACTTAACAGAAACATCCATTGAAGACGTCAACAACTTCAAGTCGCACAAAATGCAACATTAAGGAAGAGACAAAAATTACTGACACCAAGCTCGTATCAAACACAAATACTTTTAGAGAAATACCAGGACAGAATTCAAAACATACAGTTACAAAACTGCTCAAGGTATGTAAATGTATGCCAAGACCAATTACTATTTATATTACTTTTAAATGTTTATAATTAACATAAAGAATGTAAAGAATATAAAGTTTTTATATTTTGCCTTAATGTATGTGGACTTTTATTTTTTCTTTTTTGACATAGGGTCTTTCTCTCTGTTACCCCGGCTGGAGGGCAGTGGCACAATCTCGGCTCACTGCAGTCTTTGCCACCTCAGTCTCCCAAGTAGCTGGGACCACAGATGCAAGCCATCACACCTGGCTTGGACGTTTTTTAAAGAAAGATTTTAGTTTTGAAAATAGTTTCTGAATAAGAGTGATTATATAGATCCATGATTATGAGAAAACCAGTTTGTCAGTCAATAAATAGACATTTCAAAATAATATAATTTTAATTATTTGTGGTACCTACTTTCACTCTCAGAAGTGTCTTGGTGTGAATGATAAATTATATGGCTATTTTATTAATAGCTTTTGTGAATCTTTAGGTTTAAAACATGGTAGAATTCAAAACGCTGAGATTAGATGGAAAAGGCTTGGAGGCCCAGCAGCTCAGTCCCTGGGAGCTTCCTTCGCTCTTCCAGATTGATACTTTAGTTCCTGTTGTGCCTTAGTGGTTTTGCTCCACCATGACCCCCTTTCTTAATTGAGTAGCTCCACTCCAACTTGGACAGTTGTCTGTCTGGCAATGGTCCCCTCACTGTGGAGGCAATCACACTTTTAGCCAGAGAATTTTGGATTTAAGAGAAGAAAGAGTACTGTCCACATGGTCCTGAAGCGACATACATCCTCCTCAGCTGACAGGATTAAGAGATTAAAGTAAAGACAGGCATAGGAAATTATAAAAGTATTAATTTGGGGAACTAATAAATGTCCATAAAATCTTCACAATCCACGTTCTTCTGCCATGGCTTCAGCTGATCCCTCCGTTTGGGGTCCCTGACTTCCCGCAACATACTGTCCCTCTTCAATGGCTGAAGCTATAGGATGCGATGCCTGAGAGCATTGAACAATCATGTTTCTCAACTTTGCACTTGAGGAGCAGAGGTAGCCAGTCTGCAAACAGAAAAGGAAGACAGCAGATGCAGAATGAAAACAGTATGTTTGATATCCAGGGTGTGGTTTTTCCTGAGACTCCCCTTCAGTTCCACCAGCTATTATAATATTACAAACATTTTTATAATAAATTAACCTTTTGCTATTGTAAATTTAAGTTTACTTGCTGTTGGCAGCCAGAAGAGTCTTTTCTTTTCCACCTGAGTTTTAAGCAAATTAAGACATTGAAACAGGTGAAGGAAAGAGAATGTCAGCTTTATTTCTCCTCAGCTGATGGAATCACATGGCTTTGCATCTGCATCAAGAGGACCTGCTCTCCCTCCCTCCCCTCCAGCCCAACCTGGAGAATGGTGGGGTCTGCATAACAAGCATAGTCTCTCAGCTGTCCCAGTGGAGAGCAGGGCAAGAAAGCCTATTCCCAACTTCAAGGTCTTTTAGTAGATCAGCTCCGCCTCATCCAGAAATATGGACCAGCAAGTAACTTGCTCCTCCTAGGGAGTACTGAGCTCCTAGCGGGACTCAGTAAAGGGCAGGGTGTGGGGTCAGGAGAGTCACTCTAACGGAAGTTTTTTAGCAGAGAGAAAACAAGGCCAGCAGAATAGAGGAACCCCACTGTGAGTTGAAACTAAAACCTGAACCTTGACTCTCAAGATTTGTGAATGCCCCACTGTTGGTCCAACATTCAAATGGGCAGCTAGAGAGAGTGGGGCTGGGCACAGCCTCTTAACCACCGAATTGTCTTCTGTTTACAATTCTGCAGGCTCCTTCCCCATGTTTTGGTTGGGATCAGTGCAGAAGCTTCCCTGGTTTGTCTCTAGCACCTCCCACCACTGCCTAAGATTCCAGACGGGTATCACTCTGTGGACACCCAGCATATACAAACCTTCATAACATTACACGAAGATGCTTGGAGCCTGGGAAGGATCTGCTTTGAGGGGAAAGAGCAGATTTAGCTAATAGACATGGCAACTGGTGAGAAAGGTCATCTGCTTCAGTGGTTGATCACTGAGGCATTCATGAAAACAGCTAGATGGAGAATCGCTCTGAAAGTTCGTGAACAATAAGATAGCAGGGGAAATCTGACTATAACAGTAAATCTTCAGTGTTGCTCTTGGCAATCCAGAGTTTTTCACAGAGAGAGGCTAAGAGGCTAACCATATATTTAAAGACTGCCCCCTTTCCTGGATACATGTCTACTGTAAATGGCTTTGATTTTTCAACATAGGATGACTTTTTCCAGTTTTGCACATTTGAGTGCATGCACACTGCTGTTTGGAGTTTTAGATCTTTCTAAAATCCGATTCACACAGACACCTAACCTCTTTAACCCCTTTCTGCCACCTACCTTCTCTGTGAATACAGTGCTTGCAGCCTTTCAGAGACAGAGGTTTCAGAATTTGGCAGCAAAAAAAGTGATGGCTTCTAACACATTTACAGTGTGGTTAACAATAGCAGTTGCTGAACTCTGCCATGGCTGACTAGCTTTCCACTGTTAAGTGTGGTCACACTGGTAACATTTACTTAGGAACTGGGCACACGAGTTAAAATGTTACATGCACAACCCATTTGGGGTTTGAGGTATTCTCTTCTACATACGTTTTACTTGTTCATAAAAAGGAAGCTCTTTAAAAAAAAAAAATCTGATGTTTAGCTCCTGTTGATTCGTAATGGCTGAGAAGGAGTTTGAAGCATGTTTCTTTTCATCTCCTTTCAGCTTTTAATTTTTAGTACTTTCACTTATGTCTGTAAAAAGCAGTTAAAAGTGAAAGTCCCCTGACAGGAGTGTGTAATTGGCAGGCTGGGGTGGAAGGCAGGGGCTCATGATGGCTTTAAGAGAACGTGAAGAGGAAGCAGAGCTGTTCATTGTCAATGGTAATAGCTTTTAAGAGAGGCAGAACTTATGATTTGAGCTTAATTTCTAAATGAAGCTCATTTTCCAGTGTCCCAGCCC
This sequence comes from Homo sapiens, assembly GCF_000001405.40. NCBI lineage: Eukaryota > Metazoa > Chordata > Mammalia > Primates > Hominidae > Homo > Homo sapiens. The sequence goes on from NC_000006.12 coordinate 5,507,711, forward strand.
ACCTCTCAGTGGCCTCCCGGCTAGTGGGTCAGACTGCGGACACGCCATGATGGCACACAGAGAGAAGACCGGAGGGAGCAGAGGGACAAGGGAGAAGCAGAGAGCAGGGGAGAAGAACTTAGAGGTGTATAAGAATTTGTTTATAAGTGTGTAGCCTGTTAAAACCTGACGATCCAAATGGGATGGGTGGCCAGAGCTTATGCCCCGAGGTAGGAGAAGGTTTCTTTTGCTTCTCAATTTCAGAATGTCTGGTAAGCAAGTGATTGAGAGTTCTGGGTTTTTATAGGCAAATAGAGAAAGGGAACAAGGCATGAAGTTTTATTAAAGCAAGGTATGCTTCTATGTTTCACAATAAGTTATTAAGTTCCTCTACTTATTTTCTAGCACTGCAATATATATGCATATTCTAATGGGGAGTTATTAACTCTTTGAAGAGATGAAAGGCAAAGATGTGAAATGTCTGGGAAAACAATCAAGTCAGTGATATAAACCATTAAGTGCAGTGTGCACCAAGAGAGGAATTTTCACCAGGAATGTAGGTGATCCCCATGTTGAGACCTAGTATAGTTTTGGATGCCACATCTCCGAGGGGATCATCCCCCACGTGGATTCCTCTCATCAGAATCTTTCTTGTAGTCTTTGTCCTAATTTATTTTTTGTTACCATTGGAATCTATAAGATGAGCAGATAATTCAGCAAGAAACAAGCTCAAGTGAGTGAACACATGACAGCAGGGACTGAACCAGAGGGCAGAATGCAGAGAGGCCAGGAGGGAATCTGTGAATTAGCAGGAGATCTTCTTGGGGAAAGGGGAGCAGAGTGCTGGCAGGTGGGGCGGGGGAGGGGCTGAAGCCCTCCCAGCAGTGGAGGAAAGCATGGGTGTACCCACAGGGAGGGCACAGGCCCAAAGGGTACAGGACAGAAGTGAGACCGAAGTCTGAATTGAAGGCCCTGAAAGGTAAAATTAGGAGATTGCCTCTGGTGGCAACTAAGAGCATGTATGTTCTTGGGCATGGGTTTGAGAGGATTCAGCAAGTGACAGGATGACAGCCAGGCAGCCGTACGCAGGGCGGACTGGAATGGGAAGCTATCCCGCACGGAGAGGTGGACAGAATTTGAATCATAGTACTATCATTGGAAATGAGGGGGCACTGAGAAATGGAGAAGACTTTCGGAGGAAGAAACGACAGTATTTAGTGACAAATATAAAGGAAGGAGTCAGCAAACATTTTCTGTAAAGGACCAAATAGTAAACATTTTGAGTTTTGCGGGCTGGTCTCCAGTTGATTTTTGTCACTATTCGGCTCTGCCATGGTAGTGTGAAAGCAACCAGAGAAATACATCCATGCATGCGTGTGGCTGTGTTTGCCCCAAGGGCCACACCATAGTTTGCCAATCCCTGATAGAAGGGATGAAAAAACATTTTCAACCTTAGAGAATAGACGTAGACATTAGGTAAAAGCTGTTAACCTTGTAGCCAAGATTTCATTTCACCCAATCAGAATTGCTGAGAACACTGTCTTCCTGAGATACTAAACTTCCAGCTTTGCCCAGGTTCTCCTGCCCAGCATTCCTTGGCGTGGAGCTCGAGGGTGACACTGGGTTTGCGTATGCAGATAAGAGAAAGGGAACAAGTTACAAGGTTTGATTAAAGCAGCGGCCCCTCCGTCTGGTGAATGGCTCCTAGTTTACACCACGTAGCTGATGAAAATGTCACAAAGAAATCTCGTGAGCACACTGGGGAAGTGAGTTGTTCCTGGTAGGACACAGTTGGTCCTGGTTTTTACAATTCCAGTGCAGCTCGGCAGACAAGGGGCAGACTCGATGGGCATAGTGCAGGAAAATGGGTTCTTAAGGGTAAGGCGAGAGGTCCCAGCTACTTGTGAGTGGCTTACTTTTCCAAGGAGTCGATAATGATGGAGAAAAGGATGTCCAGAGGGTGGTCCATCTAGCTTGGCGCCAGAGCGGGAGAGCTGTGGAAGCTCAGCAGGAAAGACTGAGCGTGGGGACTGTGGTCTCTGCAGAAAGTGGGTGGTTTCTTTATGGGGATACCTGCTGGAGTGTGCTGGTTTTTAAAAAACAGGTTACTGGGAAGAGCATTATCCACAACACAACATCTATATATACCAACACATAGCATATGCACACTCCTCTACATGTTTATATATACACATCGTTTCTGGTTTATTTTCCTCTTACTCAAAATACATTATGTCGCCCAATTTTGTTTTCTCATTTAATGTGGAGCTCTTTATGGTGGTGTTAACTGTAATTTTAGCTCTACATTTTGTGAGGCCCGCCAGTGTTGGGCTGGGGATTAAGGAGAGTGTCATCTGGATAGATGGCAAGAAGGCAGCACCGCTAGATTTTTATAGGACAACCAAAGGCTGGGGTTTGGAGGGGTTTTTTGTTTGTTTGTTTGGTTGGTTGGTTGGTTTTTGCTCCCTTTTCTATTTAAACAAAGATTTTGCCTCATTTCAAATTTTTTTTTAGTTCAGTGATTCTGTGGATATCTGCAGAGTGAAACGTTACATTATTTTTCCTCAGGGGTGGCAGATGAGTTAGTCGACCCCTTAGGGAAGACTCTGCCTGGGTCGACCCCTTAGGGGAGATGCTGCCTGGTCCCTTCGCCCTCTCCCTGCAGGGTGCCATCCTGGCCTGCCTCCTTCCAGGCAACCCCAACAGAACTGCGGAGCTGAAGCAGCCTCTCCCCTTCAGACCTCAGAGAGCATTTGTCTGACCGTGAGTTCCGCCGCAGCCTGGCCTGTCTTTCGCCCTAGTTAGTCTTTAAGCTCCTGAATGCCCGCCGCACGCCCAGGGCTTTGCACACGGTGGGCACACGGTGCCTTTTGAGCGCGGGAGAGGGTTGTGAGCTGTTTGTGTGCGGAGCCTGTGTCTCACTCATCTTTGCAGCCCCTGGACCTGCTAGAGAGCTAGCACACTCACCAGCGCTGGCCGCGTGAGAAGCGAGTACGTGAGTGCTGACACAGTGATGAGCTTGACCCCATATGTAGTAGAACGGGTTCCCAGCCTTGTGTCTGAGCCCCACCCACCCCCCTCTTGTCCTCTTGTCCTTTTGGGGATTCACTGTCAGAGGAGATGACCTCAGGAAGTTAATGAGCCAATGAGAGATGAGCTGGTATTTATTAATGGCAGGCCGATGCCTAGGAGTGCCTGTCTGTGCTGGGCTTTACCGGTATGCAGAGATGCAGCCCCCCAGTGGGCTTGATGTGAGATCTCCTCCTCTCCCTCCCTCAGCAGGGCTTGCGGGGATCCTGAGGATCAGAGCCTGAGTTGTCTCCCATGCTTGAGCTCAGAGGGGACTGAGCTTCCCTTCTCTCTCAAGACACAGGAGGGAGAAGGAGAGGCCAGATGGCACAAGTGTCCCACACTTTCACCCCAGATTGGTCCAACGTTTAGTCAAACCAGCACATGAATGGTAGAGGGACAGAAGTAAGAACAAGAAAGAATGATAGATGCCAAGATGAAGATTTTGTACATGAGAAGGTATTTAAGGGATCTTGCAATTTTCCTGCAGGAGAAAAAGAGAAAATGAGGAGAAGGAAAGCATTTGTGCTGTAAGAACTAACCTATAAATTATACTTAAATAACTTCCTCAATAAGCATAAATCATGCAGTTACATAAAATCATATTGATTTCATTATGTTCGTATTAATACATTTTAATTTTTAGGTGCACATGCCTGAAGGCACAAGGCTCTTAAACACATAATAATCAAAAAGCTAATTAATCACAAATGGGCAAGTTTCCCAAATAATTCCAGGAATAGGTACAATTAAGAAATAATACCCTGCGCACAAAGTAGAATAAAAACACACAAGCAGACAAGAAACTTCATTACAAGCCATAAAAACCAAAGAGAAAAACAGAAGAGTCTCATTTCCTAAGCCAGGTAATGCCTAAGCCAGGTAATGTATTAGGAGGGCTATTGGAGGAAAAGGGTCATTTCGTAGACCTGTGGCCCTAACCATGCCTTTTCTCTGTTTTCCTCATTAAACTGGTGAATCTTGACTCATGCCTCTGTTATATTAATGATTTCTTCTAGCTTTGAGGGATCTAGAAGTCTCATAAGCACCCCTTTTATTTCTCTGAGTGGCTGCTGAGAACCCTAAATAGAACAGGGACAGGTTCAGGAGTCTGTTAGAGGATACAAGAAACCTCTTTCCATGTGTACACATTCATTAATCAGAACTTTTCACATATAAAGGTTCAACAAGTTTCAGATCCATCTAAATAAACAGTTGAGTCCTCTTTTCTCTTTTGTGAGTATATTCTAGGGACTTCAGCCAAGTGCTTTGCTATAATCAGAATATGCTTTATTTATGGCATTTTTTGGCTTACCCGCCCAGTAAATGCAACCACAAGAGATGATAAGAATGGGATGTTAGTCAGCACTCTTTTAGTTCCAAGAGTCAGAAACCCAACTAAAGCAAAAAAAGGAAATTCAATTGCTCACATAATAGGAGGCCCGGGGGGTGGGCTTGCTTCTGATTCAGCTGAATTCAGGCCACACAGCTAATTAGAGGGAGAGCCAGTTCTGGAATTGACTTCAGGTCCTCCGACTCCCAGGGCAATGCTCTTTCCATTACCTGGTGCTACCTCTATGCTACCTCAATCAATAGCAGCCAAATTAAAAACAAAATGAAACAAGAAGGGCATGTCTTCTCCTTGGGGTCACTAATAATTTATTCTGATTTTACCTCTCAAGACTTGCATTGTTCATGTTCCTGAAGGAAATTAGCAAAGGCTTTTGGGTGTCTTTATGAAGGAGAAATCATTGCTTTCTACCTACTTGTATTCCACTTTGTGTCCTAAGCTAAGGTAGATGGTTTGCCCGTCAATTATTTGTCCATCCATTTAGTCTGAAAACATTACTCAGCATTTCCTAGGTTACAGATGCTGTGCCAGGCACCCGAGATTCAAATGTGATAAAGACATTGATAATTTGGTGACAAAGGACAATTCAAGCAGAAGGCCTAGTAAATGTAAAAACACAAACACTTTCATGCATTCATTCTTTTCAGCAAAAAATATGTATTAAGCACAAAGTAGGTGACAGGAACTGTGTGTGCTAGGTGTCATTAGTAGGCATAAAAAAAGGAGAACATAGGTTGGGGACTGCAAATAGTTCATTATGGCAGAAGCACAGGTCTCACATGGGAGAATATGGGAGTGAGGGAAAAATGTAGACTGATGTCCAGTCATCAGACACACTGGGGACCCTGGATAGGTTTGACGCAAGAAAGTGTCCTTGTCTGATTTTCATCCTAGACACTCCAATTGCAGATGCGTGGGTTGGGTTGGAGAGGGGTGGATGGCAGGCTGGAAAACCTGATGGAGGCTATGGGAATATTTCCTAGGGGAGAGGGTGGACACTATGAGGTGGCGGTGGTTGGGATGGAGAGAAACTAGGTTCACGAAGGAATCCAGAGGTCAAAATCAGCAAGTCCTAGTGACTCATCTCATGTGACAGGTGAGGGAGGGAATGGAGTTCAGATAGTCAGGAACCTTGTGAACAGCGAGGTTATTACCTGAGACTGGAACTCTGGGGAAAGGAGCTGAGCCGTGTTTGTGTTGTATCCACATTAACTTGAGCAGTGCCTGACATGTAGGAGGGACTCAGTCAATGTTTTTGAGTGAATACCTGAATATTACAAAAAGGACCATACCAGAAAGTACTGACAGGGGAAGTTATCCTAATTCAGAAGGCCATGGGAGGCCACCTGAAGAAGTGATATTTAGCCGAAGGTCTAGAATGATTTGGAGGCAATCAGGGAAAATAGAGAAGTTTGCACTCTTTGTGTTCGAGTCTCAAATGCCATCCAGGGCGCCTGTGTCTTTTCGTTCTGGCTGCTGCCTCTACCTTTTTCTACTCCTGGCATTGCCTTGTGGCCTTCTGTTCCTGAGCCTCTTCTGTGTGTGCAGGGAGGCAGCAGGTTGTCCAGGGTGATAAGAATGGTAACGTCATAGTAACTACTGTTTATTAAGCGTTTAGTTTCCTGATCTCATTCAGCAGCCCTCAGTCACAGAAAATGAATGCTGAGTTCTCAGAGTTTATTGCTGTCTAAGTGGGCACGTAGGCCCTAGTCAGGGCCCTGCCAGGTTCCCAGGGTGGGGAAGGCTTTCTGTACCATTACAGATCACAAGAGTTCAAGAAAAAATGACTTTATGAGGTATCTTTAGGTTATCTAAAAAAAAAAAATTTAACAACTATTGATCCAGCCAAATGCACTGTTGTATCTCTTCATTGGGGATTTGTGTTCTCCCATGGTATACAGGAGGTTTGAGGATACTTAAGGAGAGTATACAATGCAGTAAAGTAGGGAAAAAATAGAAAATTAACATAAAAATCTGGACATATATATATATATATATATGATAAAGTGAATCTAGGAATGTGCCAGATGTGTTGTAGTTTAAAGAAATATTGTGTGTATTACAGATTCACAAATATGCAGCCAAACCCTTAAATGAAGCATAAGTAATCTGCCAGCCACCTAGTTAAAGCAAGTTTTGTGAATTATAATGAAATTCTCTCCAAGTACACATTTCTAATGGAAGGAAATTTACTTTAGAGGAACATTAAAAAGACAAAATTCTTGATCGTCTCAGAAATGTGGGTAGCCTTGTCTTGCATAGTCATTCTGTAATAGTAATTGGGACTTGCCTAATTGCATTTATTATTTAGAGAGGCTTGGCTGCATTTAAAAGTCTAAACATTCATGAAAATCTGTTCTAAATGTCTAAAAGTTTTTCAGTATGAATTTAAAGTTGGGACATTCTGGCCTTAGGGAATTCACCCCACAATTGGCT